>NC_000010.11:49537034-49688549 GCF_000001405.40 Homo sapiens | reverse complement strand
CCTGGAATGTTCTCAGGGGTAAAGGTCATGCTGTTTCATGTGATTCAGGTTTACCGGTATCAGCTGGCTGTGTTACTGAGAACAAACTGCAAGCAGATGAGGGTTGCAGGGAAGTCAGGAGGCCAGGGCAGTAATCCAGGCAGGAGATGATGGCGGGTGGACAAAAAATGCAGAGGGGGTAGTCAGGAGGCCTAAGAGGGATTAATTCTGGGCGTACTTTGAGGGCAGAGCTGACAAATTGTGTTGACAGACTAAACAGGGAGTGTAAGGGAAAGAGGAGTGAGAGGTGCCTGCAGGGTGTCTGGCCTGAGAAACTGCAAGATGGAGCTGCTGTGAGCAGTGGAGAGGGAAAGTGGGCAGAGCTGCTGGTGGGGGTGAGTGCTAGGGGTCTAGCTGGAAATTTGGGGCATACTAAGTCTGAGATGCCTACTCAACATGGCAGTGGCTACGAGAGGTCCTGATTAAAGACATAAATTTGGAAGTTCATCGCATATAAATGTCATTTAAAGTCATAGCTACTCCTGACTCAAATCTCCTGCCTTCATCTTTCTTCCAAACTCCAGAACGTAATTTCCAGCCACTGGCTTAATATTTCTTAATAGTTCATTCCACCCCACACCCTGCCATTTCTCCTTCTTAAATTTCTTCTTCCAAAATTGGACTCTTAAGGTACATCCCAGATCTCATCATCCTTTAGCTCAAGAACCTTCACTGGCTTCCTGTTGCCAAGGATGAGACAGGCTGGACTCTCCTGTTGCACATCCTCCTCCAACCAGACCCAATAGCCTGCTGCTCCCCAGAAGTGCCCAGGTTGCCTGCACCTCCCCTTCGCAATGAGCCTTCCTCAGGAACAATAAGAACTAACGCTTGCAGAGCCCTGACTGTGTGTACGCATGGAGTTAATTACTTTACATGCACTTGCTCATCAGAATCTCACATTGGTGAGGCAGGGATTCACATTCCTCTGTTACCAACAAGGAAACTGAGGCTCATAAAGGTAAAACCACTTGATTTTCACCTTGACTGCAAAGCTACTAAATGGTGGAGCCCAATTCAAACCATATGTGTTGACTTCAGAGCCCTTGTGCTTATCCTCTGCTCATGCCATCTCCCTGCCAGAAGTGCCAAAAATGTAGGCAGGAGATAAGTGACCAGGGAGAGGTGACAACTAAAGCTGACATGATTTGTGGACAAACTAGATGGGGAGTTTCCCCCCCAATACTGATAAGTTGTGTATTATAACAAAATGTTCATTTATGCATCCTGCTTTAATAAAATTTTTGGTATGTAAATGATCTAATGGAACTCCTACAATCATGCTGGTTGTGGCAGGAGCAAGGAACTTATGTCAGCAAAACAGCAGAGCAGACAGCTCCAAACTCCCATTCCTCTGCAGATACATAAAAAACAAAACAAAACCCAGAAACAGTCAGAACCAACATTGTCAAAACTCTGGAAAACAGTCAAAGGTCTACAGCAACCAAGTGAATACTGAATCAAAGAAAAGGCAACTTTAAAATGGTAGGAAAGCTTTGTGGCATGTTTGCCTGCCCTTGCCTCACCTTTTCTCTGACCTGGTGGCAGTCTTGAAGATAGCAGCCTGTGTTCCCAGTATGGGACTCTGGTTCTTGATTCCAGAGGGAGGTGTACCAACAGGGAGTAGGTCACAAGGACCACATGCTTCAAAGGGCAATAAAGATCACAGGGCAAGGCAAAATTAGGATTACTGATGAGAGTCTATGTCCCGCTGTGCACTCATTGTCTTGATAAGCATCTTAACAGGAAACAGGGTTCGAGAGCAGACAACCGGTCTGACTAGAATTTACCAGGCTGGAATTTCTCAATCCTAGTAAGCCTGAGGGTACTGCAAGAGACCAGGGCGTATTTCAGTCCTTATCTCAACCGCATAAGACAGATACTCCTAGAGCAGCCATCTATAGACCTACCCCCTGGAATGCATTCCTTTCCCAGGTTCTCAATTATTAATATTCCTTGCTGGGAAAAGAATTCAGCGATATTTCTCCTACTCACACGTCTGTCTACAGGCTTTCTGCAAGAAGAAAAATACGGCTGTATTCTGCCCGACCCCGCAGGCAGACCTCCTGTTTATCTTCCCTCATTCCCTGAAAATCACTGTTATTCTGTTCTTTTTCAGGGTGCACTGATTTCATATTGTTCAAACACACATATTTTACAATCAATTTGTAAAATAGTGGTCCTGAGGTGACGTACATTCTCAGTTTATGAAGATAACAGGATTAAGAGATTAAAGTAAAGACAGGCATAAGAAATTATAAGAGTATTGATTGGGGAAGTGATAAATGTCCATGAAATCTTCACAATTTATTTTCAGAGACTGCAGTAAAGACAGGTGTAAGAAATTATAAAAGTATTAATTTTGGGAACTGATAAATGTCCATGACATCTTCACAATTTATGTTCTTCTGCCTCAGCTCCAGCTGGTCCCTCTGTTCAGGGTCTCTGACTTCCTGCAACAACCCAGTCTGAGGAGTAGAAAGGAAAAAGAATGAAGAAAAATGAACAGCCCTGGAGACCTGTGGGATGCCCTCAAGTATAACAACATATACCTAGTGAAAGTCCCAGGAGAAAAGGAAATAGAGAAAGGGACAGAAAGAATATCTGAAGAAATAATGGCTGAAAACTCCCCAAATTTGATGAAAGACATGAAAATACCTATCCAAGAAGCTCAACCAACTCCAAGCAGGATAAACTCAAAAAGTATTATACTAAGACACATTATAAACAAATTGTCAAAAGACAAAGAGAGAATCTTGAAAGCAGTGAGAAAGAAATGACTCATCACACACAGATTCTCAATAAGATTATCAGCTTTCTCATCAGAATCCATGGAGGCCAGAAGGCAGTGGGATACATATTTAAAGTGCAGAAAGGAAAAAAACAAGAACCTGTTGTATTGGTCACAATTCTCCAGAGAAAGAGAACCAATAAAATATATGTGTGTGTAAGTGTGTGTGTGTGTACATATACATACACAAATATATATACATTATACACATGTACAGATGTTCCTCAACTCACAGTGAACTTAAGTCTTGATGAACCCATTGTAAGTTGAAAATATTTTAAGTTAAAAATGCATTTAGGGCACCTAACATACTGAACATCATAGCTTAGCCTAGTCTACTTTAAAAATGCTGAGAACACTTACATTAGCCTACAGCTGGGCAAAATTATCTAATACAAAGCCTATTTTACAATAAAGTGTTGAATATTTTACATAACTTATTGAATACTATACTGAAAGTGAAAAACAGAATGGGGTTGTATGGGTACTCACCATTAATGTACACAGCTGAAAGCATCAGCATATAGTCAAAAATCAAAAGTCAAACAATTGTAAGTCAGGGACCATCTGTGTGTGTGCGTGTGTGTGTGTATGTGTGTGTTTGAGAGAGAGAGAGAAAGAGAGCAGAGAGGTTTTAAGGAATTGGTTCACAGGCTAGGCTACAGACAGAGGTAGAGTTTCTATGTTGCAGTCTTGGGGAGAATCCCTTGTTCTTTGAAAAACATCAATGTTTGTTCTCTTAAGGCCTTCAACTGATTGAAGGAGGCCCACTGAACGTTTTCCCCTTAAGATCAAGAACAAGGCAAGGATGCCCACCTTTGCACTTCTATTTAACATAGTATTAGGAGTACCAGCCAGATAAATTAGGCAAGAAAAAGAAATAAAAGTCATCTAAATTGGAAAGGAAGAAGACTACCTCTATTTGCAGATTGCATAATCTTATACCCCAAAACTGCTAGTGTTCTTAAAAAAATGTTGTTAATGCTAATAAATGAAATTGGCAAAGTTGAAGGAATTAACAAAATTAACACACAAAAAGCAGTTGTATTTCTACACACTAGCAATGATTGATCTGAAAAGGAGATAAAGAAAACAATTCCATTTATAGTAGTATCTAAAAGAACAAAACAGGAATATATGCAAACAATTAGGTGCAAGTCTTATACACTGAAAACTATAAAAGTTGCTAAAATAAATTAAGAAAGATCTAAATAAATGAAAATGCATCCTGTGTGCATGGACTAAACGGCTTAATATTGTTAAAATAACAATACTACCCAAAGGATTATACAGATTCAATGCAATACCTATCACATTCCCAATGGTGTTTTTTGCAGAAGTGGAAAAACCTATCTTAAAATTCATAGGGAACTGCAAGGGACCTAAAATAGATAAAACAATCTTGAGAAAAAACTAAGTTGGAAGACTCACATTTCCTGATTTCAAAACTTACTAGAAAGCTACAGTAATCAAACTCATGTGATACTGACATAAGGATAGACATATAAAGCAATGGAATAGAATTGAGAGCCTAGAAATAAATGTTCACAGTGACTGATGTGAATGAACAGTCAGTTGATTCTTGACATGGGTGCGAAGACCATTCAATTCGTAAAGAACAGTCACTTTAACAAAAGGTCTTGGGATAATTGGATATCCATATGAATATCTTTTTAATGAATTTGGACCCTTACATTACACCATATACAAAAATTAACTCAAAATGGATCAAAGATCTAAATTTAGGAATTATAAAACTCTTAGAAGAAAACATGGGGGCAAATCTGCATAATCTTGGATTTGACAATGGTTTCTTTCTTTTTTTTAGACAGAGTCTTTTGCTCTGTCACCCAGTCTGGAATGCAGTGGCACAATCTTGATTCACTGCAACCTCGGCCTCCAGGGCTCAAGCGATCCTTCCACCTCAGCCTCCTGAGTAGCTGGGACTACAGGTGCGTGCCATCACACCCACCTAATTTTTGTGTTTTCTATAGAGATGGCTGGTTTCTACAAAAAGGGCTGGTTTTGAACTTCAAACCAGGCTGGTCTTGAACTCCTGGGTTCAAGTGATCCACCTGCCTCAGCCTCCCAAAGTGCAGGCATTACAGGTATGAGCCACCATGCCCAGCAGACAATGGTTTCTTAAACAGCATATCACAGGCAAAATAAGAAAAAAACAGATAAATTGGACTTCATTAAAATTAAAAATTTTGTGCATCAAAGGACACTACCAAGAAAGTGAAAAGATAATTTACAGAGTGGGAGAAAATATTTGCAAATCATTTATCTATTAAGGGTCTCATATTCAGAATATCTAAAGAAATTTTCCAACTCAGTAACAAAAAAAAGTGCAACCCAATTTAAAAAATGGGCAAAGGACTTGAACAGACATTTCTCCATAGACATACAAATGGCCAATAAGCACATGAAAAGATGTTCAACATCACCAATCATTAGGGAAATTTAAGTGAAAACCACAAGCTACCATTTCACACCTACTGCGATGGCTGTAATTAAAACCAAAGAAAATTGAAATCCTTGTGCATTGCTAGTGGGAATGTAAAATGGTGCAGCTGCTTTGGAAAACAGTTTGGTCATTCCTCAAAAAGTTAAATATAGAATTACCATATGACTCAGCAATTTCAGTCCCTTAAAACAAAGGGATTCAAACAGATATTTGTTTACCAGTGTTCATAACAGCACTATTCACAGTAGCGGAAAGGTGGAAACAACCCAAGTGTCTATCAACAGATAAACAGATAAACAAAATATGGCATATCTGCCACAAAAAGGAATAAAGTAGTATAATACATGCTGTAGCATGGATAAACCTTGAAATATTATGCTAAGTGAAATAAGCTACAAAGTAGATTGCAGGTTACCAGGGGCTGGGGGTGGAGGTGAGAGGTGAAGCCAGCTGGGCTTCTGGGTCGGGTGGGGACTTGGAGAACTTTTCTGTCTAGCTAGTGGATTGTAAATGCACCAATCAGCACTCTGTGTCTAGCTAGAGGATTGTAAATGCACCAATCAGCACTCTGTAAAATGAGCCAATCAGCACTCTGTAAAATGGACCAATCAGCAGGACATGGGCGGGACCAACTAAGGGAATAAAAGCTGGCCACCTGCGCCAGCAGCAGCAACTGGCTCCTGTCCCCCTGCGCCAGCAGCAGCAACTGGCTCCTGTCCCCCTCCACGCTTTGGGAGATTTGTTCTTTCACTCTTCATAATAAATCTTGCTGCTGCTCACTTTGGGTCTGCACCACCTTTAAGAGCTGTAACACTCACTGCAAGGGTCTGCAACTTCATTCCTGAAGTCAGCGAGACCACGAGCCCACCAGGAGGAACAAACAACTCTGGATGCACCACCTTTAAGAGCTGTAACACTCACCGCGAGGTCCCTGGCTTCATTCTTGAAGTCAGCGAGACCATGAACCCACCAGAAGGAATAAATTCTGGACACAGAGGGATAGGGTGTTGTTGCTTAAGGAATACAGTTTCTGTCTGGGGTGTTGAAAAATTTTAAAAAGAGAGAATAGTGATGGTTCCACAACATTGTAAAGATAATTAATGTCACTGAATTGTATGCTTAACATGGTTAAAATGGCAACATTTTAAATATATGTTTTACCCACGTTATTTTTAGAGACAGTGAACATAAACTAAAGGTAGATTATGAGGTGAGGGTGGGTAGGTGTGGCTCATCAGAGGGGGAGGAAGAGAAAAGTCACTTATTTAGGCTGTCTTCTTAGCCAAAACTACAAAACATTTTAAACATCACCATGCAACACTGCTAGGAATTGAATTGTTGCCCCCCTTCCCCCAACTTCATATATGGAAGCCCTAACTCCCAATGTGACTACAGGTGCTTAAAGAGGTAATTAAGGTTAAATGAGGTTATAAGGATGAGGACCCAATCTGATAGGATTAGTGTCTTTCTTCTTATAAGAAGAGACACCAGTGAGCTTGCTCCCCGCTCTCCCCATATAATCCCACCAGGTGAGGACAAAAGAGAAGGTGGCTGTCAGCAAGCCAGGAAGAGCGCCCAGAGCCCTCACCAGAAGCTGACCTTGCCAGACCTTGATCAGGGACTTTTAGCCTTTAGACTGAAAAAATATATTTCTATTGTTTAAGTCCCATAGTCTATGGTATTTTGTTTTGGCAATCCCAATAGACAAATACAAACATGGAGGTATTTGCAACAGAAATTTCTCTATCAACTGTTCTCTCACAGAAAGTAACTTCCTCTGCTGATTGAAATCCTACCCATCCTTCAAACTCAAACTCAAATGCCATCTCTTCCAGGAGGCTTTCCCTGATTGCTCAGCTAAAACTAATTTTTGTGTCCTTAGGCTTCAGGGTATTTTGCCTGGAAGACTCTTAGTTTGGGTCATAGGATGGGAGTTCATCAATGGTCATTCCTGGGCTCTCATCTCATTCTATATGTTCTCTCCAAGTCAATGACTCACATCTTTCTATCTCCATTTCAGACTTTTTCTCTGAACTCCAGAACAACAGAGCTGATTCAGCACCTCTGTCTAGGTAGCCGAAAGCACATGAAGCTTAATTCAGATGCTCCTTGACTTATGATGGGGCTAGGTCCCAATGAGCCCACTGTAAGTGGAAAGTGGGCTTAATACCTGGATAAGCCCATCATAAAGTGGAAAAATCGTTAAGTGGAACCATTGTAGGTTCAGATGTGCCTCAACTTAGGATAGGGTTACCTCCCAATAAACCCATGCTAAAGTCAAGAAGTCTAAGTTGGGGACTATCTGTATGACCAAAATAGACTGTTCCTTTGGAACGATTCCACATATTCCTCCAAATTTTGGTCCATCTTTGGTGTCTTTGATTTTAGTGGACAGTACATCCATCCATCAGCACTGTTTCAAGTCAGACACTGATTAGATCCGGATAACATTCTTTTTACCCTTACCTCCCACCTCCATCCTCTCAGGAAGTACCATTGCTTTCACTTTGATCCATGGTCTCCTTTATGGTCCAAGCTACTCTCATCTCAGCCCTGGACCACCCCAACAGACTTGTCTTCCTTGTTTCCACTCTTGCCCCCTCTAATCTGTTCTCCTCAGAGCAGCAACAGCTTCATCCCCTGCCTAAAACTTATCTGCGGCACTGCAGGATCTGGCCTGATTACCTCTCCAGCCTCATCCCCCATCAGTTTAACAAATATTAATACATCATTTATTGAATGCCTCCAGCCATTGCCTATATTATTAGTCCCTCTGCCTGGAAGGCATTCCTCTCTTTACCTGGTTAGTTTCTACTCATTCTTTAAAGGTCTACTTAAATGTGGGCTCATTTAAGGCTCCACTTAAATGAGCCTTTCCAGACCTCTCCCTCTCCCCTCCCATTATGGCTAGTCACAGGTCCCACTGTGGTTAGCTCCCATGGCACCACCTAGCCTCAGTCAGAGCTTAGGCACAGCTGTCATTTAGCAGTTAACAAGGAGATTACTTCAAGGACATTCATCACTGTTTAACAGTGTGTCCTCAGTCCCTGGAAGGGTGTCCAACACACACTGCGTGCTTAATAAAAGTCTGCTGCATGAACGATTAAGAGATGGAATACCAGCAACGCTACTTCCCAGCCATTTGAGTTGTGAAAGTCACTTAATATTCTTGATCCTCAGTTTCCCAATTCTTAAAGCAGGGTTATGTAATTTTTTCTATGGAGGTAATTTCTGTAATTTGCTGGGCACTGGGTGGGCCCACAGCTCACTCTTGGATAGAAGAGCCTTCCCACTCTTTTAGCCCAGCCCTGGAAGCCATAGGTTGCAACATCATCCTGGGGAAGACTTCCTGGAGAGGTGGCGCTTCGTGGGGGTCTGAGGAAGGCCTAGGCACAGGGCACCACCTGCACGGATGCTCAGAGGCTGGGGCCCTCAGGGGCGCACGCGGCGAGGAGGCCCACCTTGCAGGCCCTGCAGGCGGAAGGTGTGGTGCTCCACCGGTAGGCCTGCCGCGCTGTAGGGCCCATAGCGCAGGATGACCACTGCGTTCTTGGGCATCGCCAGGCCTCCGCCGCCGCAGAGGCAAGGGAGAAACACACGCTGCTAAGCAACCTCTCTTCCGGCCCGGGCGCGTGGGCGTCGCTACGCGCCGGGCGGGGCCGGGGTGGCGCTAGGGGATCCTCCCGGCCCCAAGCTGCTCACGTGACCCTCAGCGCCTGGTCCGCAAATACGCGCGTTTGAGCTGGTGTGGCAAGTGTTAGTGATAAATAACAGCAGCAGCCAGGCACAGTAAGTTCGTGTCAGGCGGCGTGCGAAGCATTTTCCCTGCGTTATCTGGTTGAATCAGTTTACCATCCCTAGGAAGTATTTTATGTTTTTTGTTTACAAAACCGAGGCTCTGGGAGGGCAAGTTGCGGTCCCAAGAGTGACAGGGGTGTAGTATGGATTGGAAACCCTTGCATTTCTTCTATTTTCTTGCCTCTTTTTGATTGATTGGGAGTATTCGTTCATCATTCTTCTTCCCCCACCTTCTTCCCCCGGCCCCTTCTGTCACCAGTTAGGCTATTTGGTGGAGCCAAAACTGAATTCGTCCAATTCCCTTTTATTTGCTCAGTTCTGCTCATTGGAATTTGGACATAAAAGACATCCACCACTTCTAGGCATGGCTCCTAAAAAGTCTCCTCCACACCTGCTGTCTCCCTCTTCTTATCGGTAGCCAGATACGGGATCCCAGGGAGGACCCGAGGCTCCCGGGGAGACAGACCCAAAACGTGGGAGGAACCTGGACCACTGAGTAGCTGCGCCGAATAGAGCCCCACCCATCTGCATTAGTTGGTGACCGAAGCCAGAAGGAAACATTTATTCCATAACCACTGAGATTTTGGGGGTTGTTTATTACAGAAATTAGCCCAACCTAACAATCGCAATACCCTTGCGATTACAGCATTTCTTTACTTTCTAAATATTCAATTGTAGTTGATATTTTTACCCTCCTTTTGAACAGTAAAGGATTTTAAAAACCCTTTCCCACTAATTCTCCCAACGTATGCTACTGTGTATTTTAATTCTCTCCACGTGTACAGTATGTTCTATGATACATATTTCTTTGATGAGAATTAGTTTATACACGATTGTTAAATAGAGGAATGATATCAGCAGAATTTTGACATTATTATGGGTCATACATAATTTCCCCCAGCACTTGAGTTTCGCACCATCGGACAAGAACCACTGAATTCACCAACACAGCTGAACCCAGCAGACTATGGAGGAAGGCAGGACTGTACATGATGTCATTATTCATCCTCTTGGCTCTATGTGGTTACCTGTCTTGTCTTAGAAGGACTTATTTTCTGGTTCTCTATAAACTTTGTACACGTCTTTAAAGGCAAAAATCCTCTACTCACTGTAGTGTTTTTATTAATTAGAAATTTAACGTTGTTTTAACTTTGCTAAAAGTTTTGTATGAATAGTTGTTTTCCGTTACTCTTCTGTTTTCAAGACCGCTTATGTTTCTTTATCTCTTGCTTTCTGTAGTTTTACTGTAACAGTAAAGGATTTAAAAAACCCTTTCCCACTAATTCTCTCAACGTATGCTACTGTATATTTTACCTCTCTTGGGATTTGTTGAGATTCTTGAAACTGAATTAAAGTCCTTCATCAGTTTTTGGAAAAGTTTGAGTCATTATTTCTTCACATATTGCTTTTGTTCCATTTTCTCATTCTCAGGGACTCCAGCTAGGTATATGTTAGACCTTCTCATTGTAATCTGCATGTGTCTTCTCTGTGCTTTTCTCTTTTTTCTTCTTCCATACTTCTTTTGGGGTTGTATGTATACACGTTTGTATGCATGCATTCATTCATTTTTACCTGTAATCCAGTCTACGAATTTTCTTTTTGGCTCTTAACTGAGAAGAAAAGCCAGGAATTTGATTGTTTATTCCAGTTATATATTTTTCAATTCTAGAATTTTAGTTTGTTCTCTTTTCAAATCTGCTGTGCCACTTTCAGTTTCTTCCCAAGTGTTTTAGGTTTGGCTTTATCTCCTTCATTGTAGTAAAGATAGGTATTTTATAGACTGTGTTTGAGAATTCCATTGTTTGGAGAACCCATGTGTTTGTCCTGCGGTTTATTATTTCCGCTGGTTTCTACGCATTTTATCTTGTCTCCTAGAGTTCTGGTTTATTTTAATTGTGTGCTGGACATTGTATTAAAAAAGTATTTGTAGAAACAATTTGAGGCCTAAGATAGTATCTTCCCCTATAGAAGATTTTAAAATTTACTTCTTGTTAACTCCTACTTGTACCAACCCAGGATCATCTTCATACAGTTTCAGAGTTTGAGATTTTTCTGAGCCATCCAGATGACTCAAAACTGGGCTACAGTCCATTTGGAGATTGGTTGATTTATATTTAATCCTAATTCCTGTGGTGCAGTCCTTTGGGATCCTAACTTAAGGAGGGTGGTGACTTATCAGGGTTTCCCCATCCTTGGTGGTGCCGGACTCCAGTTCTTGTACCCTCTACATCTGCAAGGACTGAAAAAATGCAGGTCATTCTCTAGACCGCCTATTCAAGAGCACTAGATAGCCCTGGGGTAAGAGAAGCCCCAATGCTATGCTTAATTACTCTTGCTCTCTCTCTAATTTTCATTCAGTAAGCTCTTTTATGCTTTTTTAAAAGATATATGCCAGATTTTAAAAGATCTCATCTTCAAGAAGCCTAGTTCAAATTAACTAGCCTGCCATATGGAAGCAGAAGTTTTGTTGAGAGTTTGACTTAAGTTGCATTGAATCTATAGATCAATTTGAGTGAACCGACTTCTTTCTGAGGCCCTCCTATTTGTGAACTTGGAATACCTCTCCTTTATTTCGATCTTCTCCAATGTCTTTCAATATGTTTGTAATGATCTGCATATTTTTCATGTCTTTTGTTAGATTTATCCCTGGGCACTATTGTAAACATCTTTTTAATTGTGATTTTATTATTTGTTGCTGGTATGTAAAATGAAATGGACTTTTATGTGCTGATTTTATAAAAGCCACCTTGACCTTTTTAATGCTTTCTATTAATTTATTTGTAGATTCTTTGGGGTTTTCTATGTAAATAATCATAGTGGCTGCAGACAATGACCAGTTTTATTTTATTTTTTATTGTACCAATTAAAATCTCTAGTGCAACAATGAATAAAAGTGATGACAGTACATATTCTCCCTTTAACTTGATTCTTATAGGAACCAATCATTTCCAACATTCCCCTTTTAGTATGATGTATGTTGTATGGGTTTTTTGTAGATTCTCTTTGTCAGGCCAAGTTAGATCTTTTCTAATTCCATTTTACTATGAGGTTTTTAGTTGATAAATAATATATCTATTTGTGGGGTACATGTGGTATTTTGTAACATGCACAGAACATATAATGATCAAGTCAGGGTATTTAGGATACTCATCACCTCAAGCATTTATAATTTCTATGTGTTAAGAACATTTCAAGTTCTCTCTTCCAGTTATTTTGAAATATACAATACATTGTTGTTAACTATAGTCACCCTATTCTGCTATTGAACATTAGAACATATTCCTTGTATCTAACTATATGTTTGTACTCATTAACCACCCTCTCTTCATCTCCCACCTCCACACCCTTCCCAGCCTCTGTTGACTATCATTCTGCTCTCTACCTCCATGACATGGACTTTTAAACTTTTACGTATGAGTGAAAACATGATACTTGTCTTTTTATGCCTGGCTTATTTCACTTAACATAAGAACTTCCAGTTCCATCCATGTTGCTGCAAATGACATGATTTTATTTTTTTATGGTCAGATAGTATTCCATTGTGTATATATGCCACATTTTATTTATCCATTCATCCGTCGATGGAAACTTAGGTTGATTTCATATCTTTGCTATTGCTAATAGCTCTGCAATAAACATGAGAGTGCAGGTAACCTTTTGATATAATGATTTGTTTCCTTTGGACAGACACTCAGTAGTGGGATTGCTGAATCATATGGTAGTTCTATTTTTTGTTTTTTGAGAAATCTCCGTACTATTTTGTATAATGGCTGTACAATTTACATTCCCACTAACAGTGTATGAGTTCCCTTTTCTCTGCATCCTCACCAGCATCTGTTATTTTTTGTCTTTTTACTAATAGCCATTCTAATTAGAGTAAGATGATATTTCTTTGTGGTTTTGATTTGTATTTCCCTAATGATTAGTGATGATGATTAGTGATGTTGAGCATTTTTTTGTATACCGGTTGGCCACTTGTGTGTCTTCTTTTGAGAAAAGTCTATTCATGTCCTTTGACTACTTTTTAATGGGGTTATTATTTTTTAACTGTTGAGTTGTTTGAGTTTCTTATATATTATGGATAATAATCCCTTATCAGATGAATAGTTTGCAAACCATTTTCTCCCATACAACAGGTTCTGTCTTCACTCTGATGATTGCTTTCCTTGTAGTGCAGAAGCTTTTTAGTTTAATATAGTCTCATTCATATATTTTTGTTTTGGTTCCCTGTGCTTTTGAGGTCTTAGCCATATCTTTGCCTACGCCAATGTCCTAAAGTGTTTCCTCTATGTTTTCTTCTAGTAGATTTATAGTTTTGAGTCTTACATTTAAGCCTTTAATCTCATCTTGAGTTGGCTTTTGTATATAGTGAGAGATAGGAGTTCAGTTTCATTCTTCTGGATAAGGATATCTAGTTTTCCTAACACCGTTTATTGAAGAGGGTGTCTTTTCCCTAATGTATGTTCTTCATGCCTTTGTTGAAAATCAGTTTGGCTGTAAATATATGGATTTATTTCTGGGTTATCTATTCTGTTCCATTGGGTAATGTGTCTGTTTTTATATCAATACCACGCTGTTTTTGTTACTATAGAATCTGTAATATATTTTGAAATTAGGTAAAGTAATGCCTCTTGTTTTGTTCTTTTTGCTCAAATTGCTTTGGCTATTTGGGCTCCTTTTTGGTTCCACAGGAATTTTAGTATCATTTTTCCTAATTCTGGGAAAGATGCTGTTGATATTTTGATAGGAATAGCATTTAATCGGCAAATTTCTTTGGGTATTATGACAATTTTAACAATGTTAATTATTCTGATCTGTGAGCATAAGATGTCTTTCCATTTGTTTGTGTCATCTCCAATTTCTTTCATACATATTTTGTAGTTTTCCTTGTACAGGTCTTTCACTTCCTTGGTTAAATTTATTCCTAGGTAGTTTGGTTTTTCGTAGCGATTTTAAGTGGGATTGCCTTTTCCATTTCTTTCTCAGATAGTTCATTAATGTTATATAGAAATGCTACTGATTGCTGTAGGTTGCTTTTGTATCCTGAAACTTTACTGAATTCATTTATCAGATCTGAGAGGTTTTTTGATAGAGTCTTTAGGTTTTTCTAGGTGTAAAATCATGTCATCTGCAAAGAGCAACAACTTGACTTCTTCTTTTCCAAGTTGGAAGCCTTCTATTTTTCTCTTATTTGATTGTTCTGGCTATGACTTCCAGTATTATGGTGAAAGATGAAAGTGGACATCCTTGTCTTGTTCCAGTTTTAAGAGGAAAGGCTTTCAACTTCTCCCCATTCAGTATGATGTTAGCTGTGGATCTGTCATATATGGGCTTTATTATTTTGAGGTATGTTCCTTCTACACCTAGTTTGTTGAGGGATGCTGAATTTTGTCAAATGCTTTATTTGCATCTATTGAGATGATCATGTGGTTTTTGTCCTTTATTCAGTTGATGTGATGTATCATGTTTATTGATTTGCATGTTTGAACCATTCTTGCAACGCTGTGATAAGTCCCACTTGATCATGGTGTACTATCATTTTAATGTGTCATTGGATTTGATTTGCTAGTATTATGTTGAGGATTTTTGCATTTGTTTTTATCAGGGATATTGGCCAGTAGTTTTCTCTTTTTTGTGTGTGTCCTTGTCTGGTTTTGGTATCAGGGTCATGCTGGCCTTGTAGCATGAGTTAGGAGGAGTTTCTGCCTCTTCAGTTTTTTTGGAATAGTTGGAATAATTGGTGTTGGTTCTCCTTTGTAATTTTGGTAGAATTTGGCAGTGAAGCCTTCCAGTCCTGGGCTTTTCTTTGTTGGGAGACTTGATTACAGATTCAATCTCATTACAAGTTATTGGTTTGTTCAGGTTTTCTACTGCTTCCTGATTCAACCTTGGTTGTGTGTGTCCATGAATTTATTCATTTTCTCTAGGTTTTCCAGCTTGTTGGCATATAGTTGTTCATAATAGTCTCTGATGATCTTTTGTATTTCTGTGGTATCAATTGTAATGTCTCCTTTTTTGTTTCTGATTTTATTTGGGCCTTCTGTCTTCTTTTCTTGGTTAGTATAGCTAGCAGTTTATCAATTTTGTTTATCTTTTTGAAAAACCAACTTTTCATGTTGACCATTTGTATTGTTTTTAAGTCTCTATTTCATTTATTTCTGCCTTGATCTTTATTAGTTCTTTCCTTATATTAATTTTGGGTTTGGTTTGTTCTTGCTTTTCCAGTTCCTTGAGGTGTACTATTAGATTGTTTATTTGAAATCTTTCTACTTTTTTAAAAACATAGACATTTGTTACTATAATACTATAAACTTACCTCTTAGTACTACTTTTGCTGTATTCCATATTTTGGTATGTTTTGTCTTGATTTTCACTTGTTTCAATAATTTTTTTATTTCCTCCTTAATTTCTTCATTGACCTAATGGTCATTCAGGAGCGGGTTTTTTAATTTCTATGTATTTATATGGTTTTCAAAGTTTCTCTTCTTGTTGATGTCTAGTTTTATGCTACTGTGGTACGAGAAGATACTTGATATGATTTCAATTTTTAAGTTTTTTTTGAGATTTGTTTTGTGTTTTAACATATAGTCTGTCTTGGAGAATGTTTCATGTGCTAATGAGAATAATGTATATATTCTGTAGCTGTTGAGTGAAATGTTCTGTAAATAAATGTCTGTTAGGTCCGTTTGGTCTAAAGTGCAGTTTAAATCCAATTTTTTTTTTTTTTGTATACTGAGTATACTGAGAGTGGGGGACTTCAGCAACCCATTATTATTGTATTGGAGTCTTCTCTCCCTTTAGATCTGATAGTATTTGCTTTATATATCTAGCTCTGCAAGCTCATCTTTAATGGAATGTTTTCCTCTGTGGGTGTTTGGTGTGTGCAGAGTGGAAAGTGCTTTTGTATTTGAGTCTGCTGAGGTCCCTTGGGTCTTACAGATCCAGGCCAACTTGGTTTTATTGGGTTGGAATCCTACTGAAACTATTCCAAAATATTGAGATAAAGGGAATTCTCCCTAACTCATTCTATGAAGTCACCCTAAAGCCAAAACCAGGAAAGGATATAACAAAAAAGAAAACTACAGACCAATATTCCTGGTGAACATAGATGCAAAAATCCTCAACAAAATACTAGCTAACTGAATCCAAGAGCACATCAAAGAGATAATTCACCACGATCAAGTGGGTTTCATCCCAAGGATGCAGGGATAGTTTAACATATGCAAGTTAAGAAATATGATACATCACATAAACAGAATTAAAAACAAAAAACCATATGATCATTTCAATAGATGCGGAAAAAGCATTCAATAAAATTCAGCTTCCCTTTATGATAAAAACTTTCAACAAACTAGGCATAAAAGGGACTTACCTCAAAATAATAAAAGCCATATATGACAAACCCACAGCCAACATCAAACTGAATGGGGAAGATTTGAAAGCATTCTCCCTGAGGAATGGAACAAGGCAAGGATTCCCATTTTCACCAATTCTATTCAACATAATACCAGAAGTCCTAGTCAGAGCAATCAGGCAAGAGAAAGAAATAAAGGGCATCCGAATTAGAAACGAGGAAGTCAAACTATCACTGTTCACTGATGATATTATTTTATACCTAGAGAAACCGTAAGGACTCCTCCAAAAGACTCCTAGATTTGATTAACAATTTCAGGAAAGCCTCAGGTTAAAAAGACAATATACACACATCAGTAGCACTGCTATACACCCACAATGACCAAGCTGAGAATCAAGTTAATAACTTAATCCCTTTAATAACAGTGGGAAAAAATATAAAATACCTGGGAATATACTTAACCAAGGAGGTGGAAGATCTCTACAAGAAGAACTACAATACAAAACACTGCTGAAATAAATCATAAATGACAAAACAAATGGAAACATATCCTATGCTCCTGGGTTCATAGAATCAATATTGTGAACATGACCATACTGGCCAAAGCGATCTACAGATTCAATGCTATTCCTATCAAAATATCAACATCATTTTTCCCAGAATTAGAAAAAAGGATCCTAAAATTCATATGGAACCAAAAAAGAGACCAAATAGCCAAAGCAATCCTAACCAAAAAGAACAAATCTGGAAGCATCATATTACTGAACTTCAAATTATACTACAAGGCGATAGTTATCAAAACAGCATGATATCGGCATAGAAGTATACACATAGACCAATAGAACAGAATAGCAAACCCAGGAATAAAGGCAAATACTTAAAACCATTTGATCTTTGACAAAGTATACAAAAACATAAATTGGGGAAGGGACAACCTATTCAACAAATGGTGCTGGAAAAACTGGCTAGCCACATGTAGAAGAATGAAACTGGATCTCTATCTCTCATCTTATACAAAAATCAACTCAATATGGATCAAAGACTTAAATCTTAAGACCTGAAACCATAAAAATTTTAGAACATAACCTAGGAAAAACTCTTGTGGACATTGGCCTAGGCAAAGAATTCATGACTAAGACTCCAAAAGCAAATGCAACTAAAACAAAAATAAATAAATGAGACTTAATTCAACTAAAAAGCTTCTGTACAGCAAAAGTAAGTAAACAGAGTAAACAGACAACCCACAAAATGGGAGAAAATATTTGCAAACTATGCATTCAGCAAAGGACTAATATCCAGAATCTATTATACAAGGAACTCAAACAAATTACCAAGAAAAAAAACAAATAATTCCATCAAAAAGTGAGAAATGATACGAATAGACATTTATCAATAGAAGATATACAAATGGCCAACAAACATGAAAAAATGCTCAACATCACTAATCATCAGGGAAATGCAAATTAAAACCACAATGAGATACCACCTTATTCCTGCAAGAATGGCCATTACTAAAAGTTCAGAAAACAATAGATGTTGGCATGGATGTGGTGAAAAGGGAACAATTATACACTGTTAGTGGGAATGTAAATTAGTACAACCTTTGTGGACAGCAACATGGAGATTTCTTAAAGAACGAAAAGTAGATCTACAGTTTGATCCAGCAATCCCACTACTGGGCATCTGTCAAAAGGTAAAGAAGTCATTATATCAAAAAGACACCTGCATAAGTATATTTATTACAGCACAATTCACAATTGCAAAGATATGGAACCAATCTAGGTGGCCATGAACCAATGAGTGAAGAAAATGTAATATGTATACCATAGAATAATACTCAGCCATAAAAAAAGAAGGAAATGTCTTTTGCACAACTTGGACAGAGCTGGAGGCCATTATTAATGAAGTAACTCAGGAACAAAAAAAAATATATATGTTCTCACTTATAA
Organism: Homo sapiens; assembly: GCF_000001405.40. Lineage (NCBI taxonomy): Eukaryota > Metazoa > Chordata > Mammalia > Primates > Hominidae > Homo > Homo sapiens. Next base: position 49,670,154 of record NC_000010.11, on the reverse strand, counting down.
GTGGAAGCTAAGCTATGGGTATTTAAAGGCACACAGAGTGATATGGACTATGGAGACTCAGAAGGGGGAGTGTGGGGGGGTGGTGAGGGATTAAAAAAATTATGTATTGGGTGCAACGTACACTACTCAGGTGACAGGTGCACTAAAATTTCAGACTGCACCGCTATACAGTTCATCCATATAATCTGAAACCACATGTACCCCAAAGGCTATTGAAATAAAAATAAATAAATATGTTTGGCAAGAATAAAAAATATTATCGGCTTGGAGTGCGTGCTTTACATATAAGCGGTATGAATTCAAGCTCCTCATCCACATATGGCATGAGTTTATGGTTTTACTTTTTCATGGATGTCTTTTCCCCCCTCTACAGCCCTGTGGATGGCAGGCTTTTTTTCTCCTCTCCTGCACTGATGAGATGATGAGAAAGGTTTTTCTAGTTCTTGTCACATGGTCGGCATGCCTCTGGGAGGTCCTGGTTTGTGCAGGGAGTTTAGTTGCTTCTCCTGCCTTGCATGAGTTGTTATGTCTTCTCTGCTTGCAGGGACGGTGAACCCAGCTGGAGCCACTGAGGCTCTGTTCTGCTTCACCTTGGGCTCCTGCTTAGTGCTATGCTCTGGACATCTTTCTTTTTTTCTGGAATGTGAGGACTTGCTTTCTTTCTCTTGATTATATATTTTAAAACTTTTCCTTTTTTTTGTATATGGTTTTGCAGGTGGAGGGGCGCTTCTGCATCACCTCAGCCCATATTGCTGCACCTTAATGTAAGAAACAGAGACTAAGGGATCCATTGGCATATACACAGCAGAAATAGGGAGAGAAATCCCAGAAGGAGGTGGGAGGAGCACACAGCAGAAGAACAAGGACAGAGCTGGTCCCTGGGAGCCATGGAGAACAGCTTTTAGAAAGGTCCTTTCGGGGGATGTGTGGCCAGCTTTTCCCAGATGTGGCATATTGTTCACCTTGCAGACTCAAGAGGCTTCTTTGAAATGAAAACTCAGAAGCACAAAAGCAGGGAGATAGGCTGAATTTATAAAGGGAACCCAAGGCACTGCACACTGTCTCTCTCAATCTCCCTCCCTCCACCTAGCTCGCTCTCTCACGCTCTCTCTCTCTCTCTCTCTCATTACTCTCCAAGGAGAACTGCTTAGGAGTAATTTGGAAACTTCTAGCTGCTCTTGTGAACCTGGGAGGGACTCTTCCCTGCTTCTGTACCAACACCCACCCCGCAGGGAGCTTCAGAGGCCTCAGGAGGGTGGCGTGGTTTTGTATGTTGCATGTCGGCTTGCCTGCTCTTGCCTTTCTCTCGGTGTCTGTCTCTGCATCTGGTTACTTTGGGGATGGCTGTGACATCTGTGATAAGAGCAAAACCCATATTGCTCAGATCCTGTTCTTCCCTTTCCCCTCCACTCCTGCTGGACTACTCTTAGCCATTATCTCTTTGAATAGTGCCTTTCCAGCATCCCAAATCCCACAAACCCACACACTTCAAGGTTCTTTTTTAGGGTCCAATTGGAAGGCATTTGGGCTTCCGTTTGGAGGAATCTCAGTTCTGATTTTGTGGATTTTCATGGCTATGAGGATATCTTGCAGCTTGGAATGTATTTCAGCTGTGCAGGGCAAAACAAGCTGTGTGCGTATGTCTGTGTGAGCCTGCAACAAGAAGGCTTGGCTTTTACACCACTTCCTAAGTTTTCAAACAGTCACCAACTCATATCATCTCTCTACAACCCTGGAAGTGAGTAATGCTGATATCAATATTCCCATTGTACAGATGAGGAAACTAAGCCTAGAGAGGCGAAGTGACTTCCCCAAAGTCCACAGTAAGTTAGAAACAGAGCTGTGTTTATTGTCCAGGCATCCAGCCTCTGAGCCTTGTGCTCTTTTCTCTTCCCCATGCTGTCCACACATGTTTGTGCAGGCTTAAGTGGAGACACCCACTTCCTGTCTACACCCAGGTTTCTGTCAACCTGATCACAAGCATCCCATGAAGCCTCCCTGCCCCTTACCCCACCCCGTGATGGCATGCCATAGACTAGGAGAGACTTAGTTCTCTCCTCCCTTTTCTCTCCTGGCTCCTGTGTCTTTTAGATATTGGCTACTGCTGGTGGCAGACCCCAGACAAAGGCAAATGAATTGTTGACCCAGCTCAGAGAATTTATGACATTACATTTTAAAGCGAGTCTGGGTAGAAACAATGGGCAACATCATCTTTCTTGGCATTACTTTTTATTGAATATAGACTTAGAACAATTTTTAAATAATTTGAATATAATGCTTACAATATACAGTTCTTTAATCTTACATATATTTCTTCAAAGCACAAAACTAGAAATTAAAATCAAAAGGCTATACACGTTTATATTGCCATAAATCTAGAACTATTTTATAAAAATAGAACTCAAATATTAACTTTATATATTTTAGCAACTTAGCAGTATTGTAAGGTGGCCACATACATTTTATTATGCATCACTGTTCCAAATGACTGTCTTGTTTTCCATCTCTTTGGGGACACCTGGAGCAGGCTCCTTTCCCAGGGTCCCCGCAGAGATGCCCTTGGCCATGGCTCAGTGTTGCCTTTGCATAAAGACTCAGTGCACCCGTGTATTCTTGGAGGGGGAAGACCAGCTTCCAGCCTCTTCCTCAGAGAGAGGAAGTGTTCCCTCCTGCCAAGCGTTTACTGTTTGCGCTTCTCATAGCCCTCACAGTGCATAGTTTGATATCTGAATGTACAGAGTGAGTTACCTTTCCATGTGCTCGGAGAATAGCAAATATGAGTTTGAGTCTGTCATATCAGTGTAAATAGTTTAAAAGAAAACCACCCAAACAATGCCCACTGGGGTAATGTCATCCCAAAGGTAGGCCCCATGAAGCCTCCCTGCCCCTACTTGACCCCATGATAGCATGCCATAGACTAGGAGAGACTTAGTTCTTTCCTCCCTTTTCTCTCCTGGCCCCTGTGTCTTTTAGACATTAGCTACTGCTGCTGGCAGACTCCAGACAAAGGCAAATGAATTGTTGACCCAGCAAGGTCCTTGACACACATGCTCTCCAATCCTCATAGTCTTGCAAGTGGGGACACTCTTGTTCTCATTTGACAGTGGAAGGAACTGCGTCTCTGGGCATGCATGTCATTTGGCCGAGGTTGGTGGGGCTGCCTGGCCCCATAGCTGGAGCTCTATGTCTGCGCAGAAATCCATGGAGGGAAAGGAACCGGAGGAGAACTCAGATCTGCACTGTGGTCACTTGGAGAGAACAGACAAGTAGCTTTGGGCCAACTTACAGCAGGTGGGCTGCCTTTCCCCAGAAAACCCAGGACCCTTGTGCTGCAACTTCCTAAGCAGAGTAGGAAGGTGGCCGTGGGAGGGAAGGAGCATAAATCTCAGGCCAATGACTTAAGTTTGTATGTTCAAAGGGTAGTGCCCAAATCTCCCATGACATCTAATAGAGATCCTCCATCTAAAACCAGGGGTTCAAGGAACTCACTTCTTGAGGCTGCTTGTGTTTTCAAAGAGCTGAGCAAAGGTCAAATGCCCACCCCACCTCTGCCAGCCTGTGACAGTCCAGGTCGAAGTGTGGAGAGCCTTCACAGTGGCACAAAGAAGGGAGACCTACAGGATTGCTGGGCTAGAGCAGAGTGCTCAGCAGGAAGCAGCAGGATTGGAGGGATGTGGAGCAGAACACACGGGCTCTATGCTGTAGATTTCTCTGGTTGCTTTCTTACTCCCTCCCTCTGCCCTTTAGACTTCCCATAAAAATGTGCTCTAATAGGAAGTGCCTCTTGTGTCTCTCCTATGATCACAGTCTCTGGAGACATCTCAACTCTGCCTCTGCTGACCTGCCTGTCCTGCCCATGCTGGAGCTGGAGCTGGGGCTGGAGCTGGAGCTGGGGCTGGAGCTGGAGCTGGGGCTGGGGCTGGGGCTGACTCTGGAGGAGGCTGTGCCCTCCTCCCAGCCCTGCTCCCTGCCAGCTGTCCCCTAAGTCCCTGAGGCCAGAAGAGAGCCCTGCTCTAGGCTCTACCACATGGGTTTTTGTCAGAGTCCCTGGATAGCCTGCTCCAAATAAAGGAGCCCAGCTGCCTAAGGGTCCTGCTTGAATCACTAAGAATTTCTGAAATTAATGTCAGGGTGGTTTTCTTAAAAATCTCTGTCTTAAAACAAAACAGATAATGGAAAAACCCAAAGTAACCATCTCTCTTCACCTACTGGAGCATGTAGGAGGGGAGGAGAGGGGAAAAGATGCAGAAAAAATGCAAATGGCAGGACCCCGGGAAGGGGCCAGGTCCTCTGCAAACCCACCGGCACCAGGCACCATCTGCTTGGGGCTGTGCAGTTTACTCATCTTGGACTGGCCCTGATGCCGCCTGCTAAGCAGAGAGTGGCAGCAACTCCAGGGCAGTCACAGATAAATTTTTTTTTCCTTTCAGAATAGCTGGACACAATTTTCTGAGCTCAACAGAAGGCTGCCCCTGGGCACGAAAGCAGAAATGTGTTTGTGGGCCCAAGTCACTATATTTTAAATGGACTTGGGCTCTGTGGTGTGTGTGGGAGGAGTGGGTGCTTGTAGGACTGTACGGCTCAGTGGAGACACTGGGAATGCCACGATAAGAATGCTCTGAATCTCAAAACACAGCCTCCTCTCCCCCAAAAAAGAAAAGAGGTAATGACCTGGAGTTAGCCTCTTCCTTCCTAACTCATTAGGTACGTTGCATGTAATAGAGTGACTCATCCTTTCCTTGGGCAGAAGCATCACCTGGACATACTAGGTCCTGCTAGGGAAGGAGACATGAACACTAAGCTTCCAAGGACCACAGAAGGAGTCCTTAGTGTGGTTCCCCAGTGCATCCAGGCTGCCTCTGAGCCAGGCAGGTCCCATTTCCCAGTGTGCAGGCCCAAAGCCACCTTGAAAATGATGATTCCCATGCATGAAGAGGGGACCCTTTCCTCCTAACACTCCGGCTCTGTGTGATGTCTCTGTATGGTCTGTGAGTTGGACCCTGAGGACAGGGAGCTGTGGAAAGCTGGGGTAAGGGACGGGAGTGGGGATCTGCAGGGTCTGGCTGTTCTAGAGGCTGGGTTTGGGAGGTGAAACCTAGTGGCAGGAGTCAAGGTTGGTGTCCCTGGCTGGGCCTCGTGGCTTTTTCCTTTGTTGCCAATGGCTTGCTCTCAGTAGGCGGCAGCAGACTGCAGAGGTCTCTCATGTCAATGAGGCTTTCTTCCACAGCTTTTGCAAACTTGCTAGAAGAAGTCTCTTTGCAGCTGTGAAAGCTAGAGATGCAGAAAAGGATGGTCTCTGGCTGGGGGTTGTAGCAGGCACCATACCCATTTGGGACCACAGGACCATAGCAGCAGAACATCTCCGTGGTTGTGGGCACCTGGAGGAGAGGACAGGTCAGGAGCTGCTTGTTCTGGAATGCAGCCCGCCAGCCTCGACTGGGCTTGGCTTCTCTGTTTTCCACCTGGGGGTTTGACTGAATTAACCAAATCAAGTGATTGCTTTAGCATGGATGGACACAGCCAGAGTCATAAAAACAGACCCATCTAACTGCATGATATCAGAGGATGAGGGGCCCCAAGCCCACTCCCTGGTGTGCAATCTGCTCTACTTGTGGAGTTGGAAGCTCCCGGAGTGACCTGGTGCTAGGTCTTGGGCTGAGTCTCCACTTCACCTGGGGGCCATTTGAGGCACGGAGGCAATCAGGTAATTTACTAAATGGTCCCCTGGTGGCACCCCATAGTTAGATGCTTTCCGGAGGGAGGAATTTATGAACTGGAGGAAATCTGGCCCATCCTCTGTGTCGATTTCCCCCAGATCCTTAATTACTGTCAGTATTGCCTGGCTTCTCTGATTTCTCCCTGCAGCCTGGCCATGCACAATTACCCAGAGTTGGGTGTTTCAAAGATTGCCATCAGTTTTACTTATGCACCTAGTATGTTTTGAATCAGAGTGCTGAGATTTTGTAATCCAGATCACAAACCAAGAAAGTATGTTTCTGAAAGCATTCAAGCCATAAATGCTGCTTTCCAGTTGGAAAACAACAAAACTCCCACACCCCAGATTAATTTTATTAGCTGGTCCTTGGGAAAAAAAATAGAAAGGATTCTTGGGCAGGTGCAGGGCCTGGTTTGTTTTAAACCTACAGGTTTCTGGTGCTGTGTGCTGAGGCCTTTGGAAGTGACACTGGCTGTTTTAATGGGGCAGAACAAACCATTAGTCTTGCTAATAGAGTCACCACATTGTCAGATAAATTTGCCGTGCAATAGCCGAAGGCCATAAAGCCATTCCAAAGCACTTTTTGCCCATGGATGATTTCCTGAGAAATTTATGGTGCTGTGTTCTGTCCTCGTTTATTCACGTCTGCATGCTCACTGCCATAATGACAACATCCCATTACTGAGTGGGCTTCTGTCCTCAAACACAGCTTATCAACTCCAGTACTGCCCATCCAGCCTTTCGCAGATGAGGTGGCATTTTAGTAAATTGATGGCTGTGGGGCATTTCCCCTCCTAAACCACGACCTCTCTCTAATGGATTGCATTCTGTCTTTGTGGCAGTGGCTCTCATACAGGACACGCTGAGGCACTGGTTAGATGTTGGGCTGGCCACGAATGTTCTGCTGTTGGTTGCGTGGCCCTTTATAATAATATCTGTGACCTATTTAGAGGGCCCTGTCCATGCCAGGCCCTGGGCTGGGCTTTCTCCCTACATAATTGTATCTGGCCAAGCCAAGACTTCACTGCAGACCTGCTGGGCATCAGAGCCCGTGGAAACCGCGGCAATAGATTGAAAGGTAGTAAGGTGTAATGGTTAGGGCACCAGAATGGGTATGTTCCTGTACTGTCTCCACCTCGGCTAAGTAGGGTCTGCTGATTACTCCCATTTAGGAGATGGGAAACCTTCTTCTTCCTTTTTTCTTTTTTTGAGACAGGGTCTCACTCTGTCACCTGGGCTGGAATGCAGTGGTGCAATCAGGGCTCACTGCAATCTCCACCTCCCCAGCTCAAGCAATCCTCTTATTTCAGCCTCTTTAGTAGCTGGGACTTCAGGCACGCACCACCATGCCCAGCTAATTTTTAAAAATAGGGAGATGAGGTCTCCCCATGTTGCCCAGGCTGGTCTCAAACTCCTGGGCTGGAGCAATCCTCCTGCCTCAGCCTCCCAAGGTGTTGGGATTATAGTTGTAAGCCACCAAGCCTGGTCAGTAAACCATCTTCTAATGAACATTCAGATCATTTTGCTGAAGATCACATAGTTCAGAAAAAGCAGAGGCAGGATTTGCCTGATTCCAGCTAGTGGGCTTGTTGTCACTGCTCTTTAGAAAGCTTACTGACTACACTACTCTTGGGCGATAGCTGCACGGGGCCGTACCTGGCTAGTGGAGAGGACAAACCGGTTGCTCATCAGGTAGGTTTCATCCATGAACATCTCGGGCAGCTCCTTGCACATGGCCCGGGCCAGCTCCCGCAGTGCCAGCAGGTGGTTGTCAATGGCCATCCCTGTTATGGCCTGTGTAGTTGGGGACAAAGAACAGGAGATGAGAAGTGGGCCTCCTGCACCTCCTTGTTCCCTGCTCTGTAGTCTACAGGACTGCTGGTGACTCCAGCAGCCACGGCTCATGCTTACCCAGTGCCTGCTGCCAACAATGTGTATGAGTGGCTGCTCAGGACTGACCGCTCTACCATGCGGCCTCTGCTCCCGGGCCCTTGCGCATTTCCACATGCACTGAATGAGTCCAGAGCAGGTTGGGTTCTAGCTTGAGACATCTGAGCTAAAGGTTAGTGAGTCTGAGCATCCCCTACACAACTATATCCGCCTGGTTCTCTAAGTGGAAAGAATGGGGCTGGCCTGGTCTTCTCAACTACCAACTGCTTGGGCAGGGAGAGAGTTTGGGAAGAAGGCTGTGTGCAGAGCTTGGAGACTACCGGATCCTGTGCAAGCATTGTGAAGGGCGTCCCAGGCTGTCCTGAACAGACTCCCACCACAACCAGCGCTGTCTCCTCCAGTAGGAGCCCAGGGAACAAGAGATAGAGGATAGAGGGTGTGAGATCTGTTACTGAATCTTGGCTGCTATTTCATGGCTCAGGATCAATTCATTTAAACTGGATCCATAATCTAAGAAATCGTTTTGAGACAGGAACTAGACCCCTTAGCAGGCTCAACTGACATTTTCAAGGGGAAAGAGCCTGTTGAATAATAAAAGTTCTTTTTCTTTTTATCACAAGATATTTAAACTTTTATCAAAGGATAGAAATATAGAGAAAGCTCCAGGATGTCAATGTAGGAGGGGTTCACGGAGGGTGAGGTGTCTGGAAGTGGGGCCGGGTACTCATTCTACAGCTCCCCCACTTGAGGCTGGGTATGTAGTATGCACACTGGTTTTTTGGACTGCATGTTTATTTGGAGCAATTCTAGGGGCTGATGGAGACTCAGGGGGCCACCCTGACCCATAGTAATCACTTTTGGGTCAACATCAGGGTAACTGTGAGTAACTCTTGGGGTTTCACAGTTCTGTAGGATGGCCAGTTAGCTGTCAAAGCCCTGCACAGGAGGAAACTTCCCATTCACAATGAACTTGGTATAGGTTTACAAGGCACGTTTAGGGATTTGACAGCTGTTCTCTTTCAGTTGCGAATGAATGCATAAAGATGACTCAGGCTCTGGTCTCTCTGAACGCACCTAATTAGAGGCTGAAAAGACAAACATTACACAACCACAGCTCACTTTAGACGTGCCCTACCTGTTAGGACCGAAGGAAAGAACGGTGAGCCCATCTATGAAGGAGACTACTCTTTTAATTTCTCTGGTTTCCTCTATTTAATTCCTGATTTGTGTTGGTCCATAGAAGCAGCTTCCCTGTGAACAGTCAACTCACCCCTCTTTTCACCACCTTGGAATAACTGTAGCAAGAGAGACTGAGTTCACAGGTTGTTTGGCTCAGAGCCATGAGTAATAACGAGTAAAATGACTTATAATTCAGTCTTTCATTCATTCATTTAGGGAATCTTAATTGAGTGCCTACTATATGCCTGGTGCCGCGGGTCCTGTAGCCACAACAGAGAACAAGACAGTTGTAGACTCAGTCCTTGTGGAGCTTATGGTGTAGTGGGGGACAGATTTCATCAACCATGCAAAAAAACATGATCATAAACTCAAGTGTGAGGAAGGGAAAACATAGAAGTGGGAGAGTAAGTGATGGGGGCTCTGGACCACCTTGCCATTGGAACTTTATTTCTCCACGACCACTGGCAAATATGCTTACCAGTTATTAGGTTTCCTTGCTTCTTTCCCCCTTTCCTTACCCTCCATGTCCAACCACACACCAGATTCACATCCTAAGCATCTTTGTATCTCTCCTTTCCCCAAACCCATCTCTTTGATTTGGTTGTTCTCATCAACTTAAAATTATTAACACAACCCTATGGCAATGCTTTGGAGGGTGTTTTCCTAGACATTTTAATAAATTTAAAGTTGTTATTGTCATATATTTATATCGTTTAGAAATCCAAATAAACCAAAAGCCTAGGTCATTTTGCCAGCACGGATTCCTACCCCACAAAGGTAATTCCTTACAGTCTTTTAGCTATTTCTTTTGGGTATATACTTTCTTTCCTCCAAACATATGCTTAGGTTACCACTACTGAATTTCTCAGTTTTACCTATAATCTTCTTGTTATAGACAGTGAAATTTCAGCTCTTTTTTTTTTTTTCTGAGATGGAGTCTCACTCTGTCGTCTAGGCTGGAGTGCAGTGGCGCGATCTCAGCTCACTGCAACCTCTGCCTCCTGGGTTCATGCCATTCTCCTGCCTCAGCTTTCTGAGTAGCTGGGACTACGGGCACCCCGCCACCACACCTGGCTAATTGTTTTGTATTTTTAATAGAGATGGGGTTTCACCGTGTCAGCCAGGATGGTCTCGATCTCCTGACCTTGTGATCCACCTGCCTCAGCCTCCCAAAGTGCTGGGATTACAGGCGTGAGCCACTGCACCCGGCCAATTTCAGCTCTTTTATGACCCTGCTCCCCCAGCACACTTCTACTCTCCCATCTTCCCAATAAGATTATGTTTTAACTCTTTGTAGTTTGATCAAGATACAGCATAATCATGTATACAGAACGATATACATAAGTATAATTAAGCAAGTATTCACAGCTGGGTCATGTAGTGTACTATGATTAGATTTCCTTTCTTATTGAATTTTTTGTTTTCCCTAGAATTGACAATGTATAAATTACTTTTTTACTTCCTTAGCTTTCCATGTATCTATTTTATTTATTTATTTATTTACTTTTGAGATGGAGTTTTGCTCTTTCACCCAGGCTGGAGTGAAGTGGCGTGATCTCGGCTGACTGCAACTTCCACCCCCTGGGTTCATGTGATTCTCCTGCCTCAGCCTCCTTAGTAGCTGGGATTACAGGTATGTGCCACCACACCTGGCTATTTTTTGTATTTTTAGTAGAGATGGGGTTTTGCCATGTTGGCCAGGCTGGTCTTGAATTCCTGACCTCAGGTGATCCACCCACCTCGGCCTCCCAAGGTGCTAGGATTACAGGCATGAGCCACTGTGCCAGGCCCCATGTATCTGTTTCTAACTGATTCCTAAACATGCAGCAAGAATTTCATTTGTCCTCTCACTTCTTGCTTCTTTATGGACTGATTGCTCTCTAGGTGTACTCAACAACTGTTGATTTGTGATCTCCTTTTACTGTCATCCTGCGGGCACCCCTCTATCTTTTTCTTGTGTTAAATCTTCTGTTTTTTTTCAGCCTATGATTTCCTCTTTTATGTTTTATTTTCTCACTTTAGAAGTCTACATTCTCCAGTAGCTTTATGAGAAATGGTGCTTAATAAGTAAAATGTTTGAGACTTTCTCTGTCTAAAAATATCTTTGATGCATCTTCAAACTTGATGACAGTTTAGCTGGGTATGAAATGTGTGTTGAAGGTCACTTTCTCTCAGAATTTGAAGACACTACTCTTTTTATCTTCCACCTTCCAATGATGCTGTTCAGAAATTAATTACATCTTTTTTATGGATCTTTGTATTTGATTTTTTTATCCTCTGATAGATTTTAGAATCTTCTCTTCATGTTTAGTGTTGTGAAATTTCCTTTGCTATGAGTATTTTCCATCTATTAAGCAAGTTATTTGGAATATTATTCTCCTGGACTAAGCCTCTTTTCTCTCTTATATTTCATCTCTTTATTGTGTTGATATTTTGGGGATATTATCTCAGATTATCTTCTAATTCTTCCACTGAATTTTTTTCTACCATATTTTCCCCCAGAGTTATTTTTATTTCCTGAAAAATGTTTTTAGTTTCCTATCATATATAGATGTAATAACTCCTTTTATTTTTCAAAGAATCTCAATGATCACTTTTAAACTGTTCAATTGTTTCTTGTACTTTTTTCATTTCAAGTTTTTGTTTGTTTGTTTGTTTTTTGAGAAGGAGTCTTGCTGTGTCGCCCAGGCTGGAGTGCAGTGGTGCAATCTCAGCTCACCGCAACTTCCGACTCCCGGGTTCAAGCGATTCTCCTGCCTCAGCCTCCCTAGTAGCTGGGATTACAGGCATGTGCCACCACACTTGGATAATTTTGTTGGTGGTGGTGGTGTTTTGGTTTGTTTTGTTTTTTGAGATGGAGTTTCACTCTTGTTGCCCAGACTGAAGTACAATGACGTGATCTTGGCTCACTGCAACCTCCACCTCCCGGGTTCAAGCTATTCTCCTGCCTCAGCCTTCCCGAGTAGCTGGGATTGCAGGCATGTGCAACCACGCCTGGCTAATTTTTTGTATTTTTAGTAGAAAAGTGGTTTCTCCATGTTGGTCAGGCTGGACTTGAACTCCCAACCTCAGGTGATCCGCCTGCCTCAGCCTCCCAAAGTGCTGGGATTACAGGTGTGAGCCACCACACCTGGCCTTTTTTGTATTTTTAGTAGAGACAGGGTTTCACCATGTTGGCCAGGCTGGTCTCGATCTCCTGACCTCAGGTGATCTGCCTGCCTTGGCCTCCCAAATTGCTGGGATTACAGGCATAAGCCACTGTGCCTGGTCCATTTTAAGTTTTTTTAAAAAGATTTTTTTAATTAGCAAAAATGTTTGTTGGTGTTGGTTTTACTCTTTTATGTCTCCTCAATGTCGGAGGATCTATGGCTATTTGTATTTAAGAATAAAGCACTGAAAATATGATTAGAAGATTTATGTATGATAATGTATTTGTTAACCTGGGGGCTTCACTGTCCTTACAGTAGCTCTTCTTCAATATTAAAATGGTTCTTAACTAGCAGCTCTGCCTCTTGGCAAACCACTACCTCATCTGCTGACTAGGCTCTTTCACTGTGGGCCCCAACCATCAGTTTCTGTGAGTGTTCTCTCTTGGCTTGGTCAATTTTACCACAGAGAAATCTTCTAATCTCCTGCTTGGTGAGGGATGGTTACAGAGCTAGTTCCCAGTGTGTATGGAGCTGAGTGGCTGAAGGGCTTAATAGTAAGTAAGAAGAAAGTAGTAAGACTTTAATTAACCAATTAATTTCCGTACAGTATTCCCTCCCTCAGCCATGCCTAGTGTCCTCAAGTCTGGAGTCCTTCTGCTTCAGCCTCTCCAGAGAATGAACTTCTAGCCCACCACTGGGGAGGGGGGCTAGTAGCCTGGCTGCCTGGGGTGGTAGAGAGGAACTGAGGGTCTAACTGCTTTTTATATAGATCATCAACTGCTATGGTTTGGATGTTTGGGTCCTGTCCAAACTTCATGTGTTGAAACTTAATGGTATGATAGTATTAGAAGGTGGGACCTTCAGGAGGTGATTAGGTCATAAACGGGTTTAAGGCTCTTATACAAGAGGCTGTACACAGTGTTCAGCCCTCGGCCTTTCCACCTTCCACTATGTGAGGACACAGCACTTGTCCCCTCAGGAGAATGCAGCAACATGGCACCATCTTGGAAGCACAGAGCAGGCTTTGCCAGACACTGAACCTTCTGGCACCTTGATCTTGGACGTCCGACCTCCAGAACTTTAAAAAATAATTATCTGTTCTTCATAAATTACCCAGTCTCCCAAGCTTCTCTCACTGTTTGCTGAGTCAGTCGCCATGTGTTCTACTTTCCAGCTCTAACATGTTGCTGCCACTCCTTTCCTGTTCTCTTTGCCCTGGTGTATTTACGGCTTTCAAAAATCCCTTGCTGTTGTTTTTGGAGGGTTTCAGAGAGAGTGACAGTAACCCTGTGTGCAGTCCACCATGCGCGAAGAGTTTCTTCCACCAAGAGGAGGAGTTTACGACTTCCCCTTCACCCTGCCCCTGTCCTACTCCAGTCCAAACACCAGCTCTTCCTCCATATTAGAAAGGTTCTTAACCAGCAACTCTGCCTCTCAGCAAACATTCCCACCCCCAATTCCAACCAGTCCTTCTTCCACCCAGTCACCATAACACACTTTGTAACAGGGAAATCCAACATCTCCCCTGCCCCACTGTCCTTTGCAAGCTGTGCTCTGCTTTTCCTCGAATGGGTCTTATTCTCTTAAGGCTCTCAGTCTTTGCACGTGGTGCCCTTCTTGAGCCATCTTTCCCTTCTGTGTCTGCCTGACAAGCCTCTCTTCATCCTTTGTGGCTCACAGGAAGCACCACTTTCCCTGGGAATTCTTCCTGGCTTTCCCAAGCAGAGGAAACAGCTGGCTCCTCCATGTCCCCTGCTACTTTCTGAGGGCTCTTTTCACATGGGATTGGTGTTCACGTTGAAGGGCCTCTTCTCCCAACTACATGGTAACCTCCCTAAGGACAGGGCTTATGGACTTCATATTTTGTTTCCTAGCACCCAGCACCTTGCCTGGCATAAAGCATGAAGACCAAAAAAAAAAAAAAAAAAAAAAAAAAACCCACTGAATACATGAGTGGGTGCTATGTTTTCCCCAAATAGAACAAACACTGAAGTATTTAGATGAATTAGGGACCTAGCAACTGAATTAGAGAGAAGTCTATGTTGGCTAGTTCTAAAATCCAGAAATGCATTGTTTCTGTTTTCAAGTATCTATAGTGAAATTTGTTCAGCTCCTTCTCATAGATTATATGATCCTTCAAAGACTGTATTAGAATGACTTGCAATGCAGGTATTGATGAGCCGCCCAAGTCACTGCTTATTCTCTATTTTGCTATTGCAAACAATAGCTTTGCAGTGCCAGAAAATGAATTATTTCTCTAAGCTAGAGAAACATTTCCCTTGCAAGTTTGATTTCCCTATTAATTTTCAGCAAAGACTTTTTATTCACAGGTAGTATAAATGAATATACAGAGAATGAGAGGCAAAAGCAGCCCTAGGTGGGAACAGATACTGTTTTGCCTGAGATTGGGGAAGGTGTGTGACCCCCATCGCTTGCCAGGCTTGAGCCCCTTCCCCTCACAGTTGACTCCTCTTGTATAAACTGCAAGATGCTATACATATTAGGTGCTATTATTGTCAGTATGGTTGTTTCAAAGGGTTTGAAAAGTGGTAACTTTTGTATTCTTATAAAATCCATGTCAAAAACAGGAATGCTATGTTACTTAGGTTCTAAAACGAAGAAACAAGAGACCGAGTGGTGAAGTGGCCTTGCCAAGTCCCCGAGTAACAGGTGGCTGGGCCCTCACACAGGGTCTTATGCCGTGGTGCCCATTCTGGCAGGCCCCAGGCACAGCTCAAGTGCAGTGTTGTGAGGTGGTGCGACGTCACTCACCATGACTGTGTATGCAGTCTGGGCACGGATGGCATCCTTCAGGAGCAGAAGCTTCTCAGAAGCCTGTCAACAGAACACAGAGGCAGCGCGGGGTTTAAAAGGCTGCTTGGAGCCAAAGCATCTGGTGGTCAGAGGGCCGAGCCCACTGCAACCCAGGGCAACCACAGCAGCCTCACTGGTTTCCTGTGGCCGTGGGGTGGGGCGGGACTTACTGGCACAGCAGCCTTGTGGTCAGTCACGGCTCTCACAAAAGCCAGTGCCTCTGGAGTGGCCGATCTGATGTTGTCCACGCGTCCCTCCTGGAATCGGCGGATGGACGCGCTCTCGTAGGTGGGCACCAGTCTTCGATGGAGCCTGCGTGGGATGAAGGATGAATGGCACATGGTAATTTATTCTTGGGAAATCATAAACTCGGAAAGAAAAATTGCCTCAGCAAGCTTTATTTTCACAGCCCTGACTTGACTTGGCAGAATATTTCATTTTAATATTAATAGAATTCTAGAGGGAATTCCCAAAGATGACGCTGGGGAGTCTCCCACATGGAGAGCCACGTTTGCTTATATACACCCGGGGATGCTGCACTGACATAAAATAAAGAAGTGACGGGTAGCGCTTCAAAAAAAATTCCCAACCTGGTGGGAAACCTAGAGTTTTCTGTGAGACCTGAGTGTTTGATGAACAGCACAGAATGGAATAATTGTGTAATTAATCATTCCCACCTATGCGGGAATCCTGTTTTATTTAAACTGATTCAAGCATGACCTCCAGAGGGAGGCAGGGAGGAGCCTTAGTGGTGGTAAGCGTAAACGGCTGTCCAGGCCCTCCCTTCCAGGGGCAGCTGGGCTTCTGACAGACCCATGGGCACCATGGCTGTGCCTCTCTTCCCTGATGACTGTGTCCTGAGCAGCAGTGGCTGCTTCCCCACCAGCCAGGGGACTCCTCTGTCCTTATGCATGGTAACTGGGCCAGCGTCCCTGGGCTTGCACCCCTGGTGGGCACACTCCCTTTCTCACCACTTGGTAAAGTCCTTGATGTTGGGAGTGGGGGAGGAAAAAAGACACAGAGCTTGGAGAGAAGCAGTGACAGCCCAATGTCACCCAGCAAGTCGTGGCCCCACATCTCAGCCCTCTCAGGATGTCTCTCCCTCACTGGCTGGGCTCCTGGAGGTTTGGGAAGGCCATGTCCAAGTCTGCAGGGTGTGTGACACTGTCTTGCTTGGTGAGCAAGGGAATGACCTTCCTGTACACTCTGACATATTTCCCCAAGACTCTGGCAAGGAGCTCCTGTCCTGTCTCTATGGTCCCTGGAGGCAAACACCATCACTGGCCAGTCATTGACCAACCCGAATTCAGGCAGCCTCTAGGTTTCTGCTGAATCTGGGGGCAGATAAAAACAATTGTGATTATTACAGCTTAGAGCCTGAAGAATGCTGCTCATGGGAAGCAGATCCTCTTTGGCCATTCGATGAACCCAGGAGCCTCTGGCTATGTCCTTTCCTGGCCTTGTCCAGTGACAGCACAGCCCACAGGCAGGAGGAGGAGGGGTGCATTGTGCAGGCTGCACTGTCCCCCTCAGCTCTGGATCTGAAACTTGGAAGTGCTCATAGTAGAGAGGTCCCGAGCAGCTGGTCTTAGTGGCATCCCCAGTCGAGGCTCTGGCAGGATGCTGACCTCACGGCCTATCTCGGCCCCATGCCCTCTGAGTATCAGAAGGCACTGACCACCATTCCAAATGCCAGGCAGGTCCTGCAGCATCTCAGTACTGGTGAGGTTTCTGCCTCTTCAAGTCTCAGCAGCAAGCCCAGTCCTCATGTGGGATGACATCGGCCTTCCCCAAGGTGTCCGGACAGGACAGACACTCAAAGTGGCTGCACTCACTTCCTTGAGAATTACAGCCCCGCAGGGGACACTGGGCTGCTGTGTCTACACGGGTGCTGCCTGTTCATTAGTGAGAATGCCTTGCCCTAGCTTTACTGCAGGGTAACTTTATGCCCTTCATGGAAGTTGCAAACTGAAAGCAGGTTGGAGGGCAGAGCTTTACCGTTCATAGCAGGCAGTTGATGAGCCGCTGCTTCTGCAGCCCTGGAACTGTCAGGAGCTGGCCCCATCTCCAGGAAGATCTATTTCACATTTTGGTTTCTTCGCCTCCTGTAAGGCTAATTGACCTCTCCCCTGCCTTCACTCCTGATTTCCCTACTATTCACCCCTTCCCCGACACACAGCTACCTGGGCCACCAGGTCTAAATCCCAGACCTGGCCGGACCACTTCTGGCTAAACCTCCCGTCTGTGATTCAGTCTCTGGCACCTACTCTGTGCCAGGTATGGTGTGGGTGCTAGGGACTCAGAGGCATGCGAGATGCCCAGAATGTCAGGGTCGCGGGGATAGTCTAGAAAACAAAGCCAGCAAACCTGCAAACAAGATAATTCACAGAAGTAACAACTGCCTGAAAGAAAAAGAAAATTCAATGTGGTATGACAGAGAATGGGTGGCAAGGGGGCCACAGGGGGCTGCTTTAGATAAGGGGGTGGGGAAAGGCTTCGAGGGATGGAAACTGGGCTGGAAAGGGCTGGTGCGTGTGGAGGGTGGTGACCCTGAGCCCACACGCACACCTTCCGTGGGTGGCAGAGGCACAGCCAGGGCAAAGGTCAGGAGGCAGGAGAGAGCTGGGGGTGTGGGAGGGCCTCAGGTGGGGCCAGTCCACAGGGGGCACTTCTAAGCCTGTCTTTTGTTCTAAGCCTGGTGTGAAGGCGCTGGGAAGTTTCATGTGGAAAGTAATCTAGTCTGATTTGCATATTTCAAAGTTCACTCTTCATGAAGACAGGATTACCAGGGGCAACACTGGAAGCAGTGACCCTAGGGAAGTGCTGCCGTTGGCTAAGCATGAGCTGATGGTGGCCTGGGAGGGGCCAATGGCAGTGGAGGTGGAGGGCAGGTGAGAGACATTTGGAGGAGAACGGATATGGCAGTGTGCGGGGATACGAGAAAGGGCAGAATCAAGGATGAGTCCAAAATCTTTGTCTTGATCAGCTGGGGGAGCTGCTGGTTCCATTTCCTTAGCAAGATTGGGAAGACTGGGGAGGAACAGGTTGCAGCAATAGGGCTTGGGTGAGATGGGGGAAGTTGGGATGGAGAGCAGCCCCCCAACCCCAACCATGGTCCTCATCCCCTCCTGGCTCTTCTCAGCTCTACACTCCAGTCCTTTGGAGCTCCGTGCCCCTGTGCCATCACCCAGGCAGTTCCCTGATGGCACATCCTTCTTGTTCTGAGGTTGGATTTGTAACCCAGTTCAGTCTGCTCCTCCTTCATGCAGCCTCAGTCCCTCTCCAGTCTTCCAGGCCCACAGAAGGCTGTCCCTCCCTCCAGGATGCTTCTAGACCCTAGATCCTACAGCACTGTGTCCGTCAGCCCTCCAGGGTACAGACTCACTCCACCTTCACTCACCTGTAGAAGGCCAGCTGGAGGGCCACCTGGATGAAGGCATCAGGGCTGCATTTCTGCTTCTTAATGAATGTTTTCCCATAGTTGTCAAACTTATAGACAATGAAGTCAAGGTTCTTTACTATTCTGAGGAAGAAAAAGAAAAGATGTTTTTATTGCATGCAAAACAGTATGCATGCATCTGGGGTTTCCCCGGGCTTCTAGAGCCTGGTCTGTGTCCTAGCGTTCTGGAAGGTGCGGACGTAGTCCCTGCCCTTCAGGAGTGCACTGAGGTGTCAGAGACATGCCTTGACCTATGAAAGTGTCAGAAGACAAACCAGGCCAGGACTACTATGACCCAAGGTGAGCTCAGCTGAGTGGGGTGTCGGCCCTGCTCTGGAGAGTGGGTGGGGAGGTGGGCCTGGCTGTGTTAGTGAGTCAGGGATTAACTGTGACACAGGTGACATGCCCGGGATTTTGTAATTCACTGTCGGAGTAACAGGAACATTTTCCAAGTCTGCACTGAGACTCTGGAGCACTGGCTGACCCTCATATTGAACAATCTCCTCCTCCATCAGGAGTCTGGGGTCTGAGCTGACTGCCCACTGGAGCAGTGTCTGGCAAGGTCTATGTGCCTCCCCACTGGAGAGCGCATAGCCTGAGTGGGAACCCCGAGCCCACACGCACACCTTCTGTCGGGACTCCATGCTCCCTGCCTGCCTCTCCTTGAAGTATTCCTCCTGCTCACAGCAGCTCAGCTCTCGGTGGGGCCAGGTGCTAGGAACACAGGGGGACTTGGAGGAGACCCAGTTCCCATGAGTACTCGCTCCTTAGACCTACCTGTTGACAGACGTCTGGGACAGACTGAGCTCACTATCACCACAGCCACCTGGAAATCTCTCCCCCAAGCTGTGCCCACTCGGGCCTCACCCACTTGTATGGGCCCCTCAGGACCCCCAGGAAGAAGCCTCCTTCTTCCCCATCCATGGGCCTTTCCTGGCTCTCCTCAGCCTCTGGAGGGTGGAGCTGGGGGCCTTGGGGAATGTGGGGTCTGCTCAGGTCCCTGGAAGTGAGTGGACTCCTTTACCCACTGAGGACTCAGCAGCCCACCAGCTCACTGCCTTGGCCCCTGACTTAGCTCCTGAACAACCCTGCAAAGCTGAGATGTGAGCACCACTTTATAGAACACCTGAGGCCCCTCCATGCCCACTGAAGCCAGGCAACCTCTCCAGCAGCTCCCAGTGGATGGGTCCTTCCCGCTCTTCAGCTTCCCAGCCTGGCCACACTCTGTCCTGCTCACATGTGCCCTTCCCACAGCCTCCTCAGGGGCGTCCCCATACCCCCTGCACAGAACCCTCCAGTGGCAGGGCAGGCTCTAGGCCCATAACAGGACAGTGACACTCATCACAGTGTGGCCCAACTTCCTTTTTGTGGCCCCACTCTGGCCATTCTCTCACTTGCTGGTCTCCAAACCAGCCTTCATCATTATGAACTTGTACAAGCTTGAAGAAGCTGCCTTTCTGCCTCTTCCCCATCTGCTTGCACCATGAACTCCTATCCATCCTTCAAGGCCCGTCTCTACAAGGCCCTCCCTCACAGTCCTGACAGAGTTCAGCTTCTATATTTTTGTGGGTTCAGGTCAGCATGGCTGTTTCTGCTTTTGGCATTAATCTTACTGTATCACATGTTTTGGCCTGGGAGTCTACTTATTCCACTCAAATATGGAGTGCAGGTCCCATGGTACTTAACTTTCTGTGTTCTCAGAGCCTTACCACGGGCCGGGTGCACACCAGAGCTCTGCACATGTTTGATGAATGAATGAGCAAACCAGTGAATGAATGCATTCGTGCTTGCTTACTGAATGGGAGAATCAACAGCTACAGTGCAGACGTGGTTGCCAGGATGTGGCTGCCACCACTGCTTGCTGCTGCCCCAGGCCCTCCTGCCTGGGTCCCGTTAGGGCCTGAACGGCCCCCTCCCCTTGGGGAAAAAGGCCCCTTTGTCAAGTTGCACTGTACATTCAAGCAAATTTAAATAGCTTGAATTCAAATGACCTATTCAAACCAGTTGTTTATTACTCCCCCTAAAGCAGGGGATGATTTCCCGGCCTTGACTCTGCTCAGTCAGGTGAAACTGAAAAAAAAAAAAAAAAAAAAAAAAAAAATAGCCCTGCGTTTGCATTTTAGAGAAATGATGGATACTTCAGCAAGGTTATTTCCCCAGAGTTGTATCTCTCCTTTAATTTGACTACATGAGGGATGGGGACGAGGTGGAGCCCAAGGAGAGGCAGAGGAGCTGGGGTCTTTGGAAACTTCCAGGGAGCCTTGGGAGCTAGTAGGCAAGGGCGGGGTGGTCCCTAGGGGACCCCTCAAAGGAGACTTCGGTTATCCTTACCGTTGAAGTTTTTCTGCCGAGGAGGCTAAGTGGCCTTGAATTTCCGGGGAGCATTTCCACCGCAGCCTCCGGGGGGCGGGGAGCTCGCTGACGGAGTCTGCTCGGATCAGCTTCCTGCTGCTCTGCGTCCTGCGGGCACAGAGGCAACCTCCTGAGGCTCTGCGGCCAGACAGCTGTGGGAGGCATCTCTTCTTTGCTCTGTGCAATCATCTTAGCTGTCAGTGTTTGCGGCCATGGAGTTTCAGGGGGTACGAGCTGCCCCTGAACCACCGTGCAGATGAATAAACTGAGGCTCAGAGAGGCCACCAAAATCATTAAGTGGCAGGGCCAGGGCTCCATCCAGTTCCGCCTGACTCCAAAACCCATTATTTCTTTTCATTGTTTTCCTATTAGACCATGTTACACCCTTACAGAAGACTTGGAGAGAAATTTAAGAGCAAGCTGTGTTGTTCTCTTCTACAAGGTTTGTGCCTACTAGGCTTGGTTTAGGTTTCAGTAACCCTGAGTTTCATGGAAGAAATTGAAGACTTGGATGCAGGGAGAAGATTCTAGGAGAGAATGGGTAAAATTGGGAATAGAGGAAGGAATACCATGTGTTTAGGGCACAGAGGAACCCTGCTGGGGAGCTAAGGAGGGACCCAGCCTTGGGATTTGGAAGCAGTGAGACTCAGAGAACTCCCCCTGTGCTGGGGCAGCCGTGGGCCTGGCCCTGACTCAGGATAAGCAATAGGTATCGATGTAGGCTTCCCCTCTCTCAAGGCAGAGGTTCCTGAGAATTCCTTGCCATGCTTCTCCCTGACTGCCGTAAATCTGCTGCCTCCTATCCATGGCCCGTGAAGCACATGATGTCGCATACAAAGCTGGGTTTCAAATTCATCGTGTGTGTGTGTGTGTGTGTGTGTGTGTGTGTATAGTACACATTTTTTTCAAATTCATCTTTTGTTAAGACGCTTTCCAGACTGACACAGCCCCCAGCGACCACCCACATTTTTTTGGGCCCAGCATGGCAGCCCTGGGATCCAGACTCACACGTGCTTGAGCAGATGCTCAGTGCACTGCACCAGGACGATGCCATCGAATGGGGAGTGTTCGCACACCACACCGCAGGTGCCGTCTCGGCCCACCACAAACTGCAACAGGAAAGAGGGAGTGGGCGATCATGGGAGAGTCAGCATTGCAAGGCAGCCCCTTGGCCCCAGGTTAGGCCCCTGGCTTCTCAGGGCACCTCTTCTCCAGGGACACCAGAGCACATTATTTCCTGAAGAGAACACTGCATGTGATTGCAGTGGCCTGAGAATATGAGAATCCAAGACTACTCTGCACTCACGACCTCTTTCCCGTAAAAGCTGTGGGCAGTGAAGGTGGAGCCCCAAGTTCCCGGACTGAGCAGTCCAGGGATTTCTGAGGAGTTCATCCTCAGGACGAGTCTGCCCAGCTGCCCTTGGGGCCTGGGTGAGGCCCTTCAGCCCTGTTTCCTGTCATAGCTCACATCGGGGTCTCCTCCCAATCTCTTGCCTTGTGTGCCAGAGGCTGGATCTTTACTCCCATTCTACAAAGAAACTCACTTCCCACAGAGCTTCTCCCCAAACTCACCCTTTGCAGGCCCTCCCCTCCCGCCCCCAGTGTCCCCTGCCTTGCTATCCTGAGACCAGTTCTCCATCATCTTGAATTCAGGTCCATGAAGCCCTGCTGGCTTCTCTGGTTCGCCTGATAATCTGCCCTGCTGATGAAAAGAACCTGGAGGTCAGCATAGACTAACCCATGAGAGGTGGTGGAGAGGGCTGCACCCACCCCCCACATTAGTACTTATCTGTGCCTGTCACTAAAAGGAAGGAAGGAAGGAAGGAAGGAAGGAAGGAAGGAAGGAAGGAAGGAAGGAAGGAAGGAAGGAAGGAAAGCGGTGTCTTTTGAAAACTGCTACCAAGGCTGAGTTCCAGATTCTGTGCATGTATTATATCGGTTCACCCCCACAGCTCCATGAAAGATGATAAGCCATTAGCACCACTGTAGAGGCTAAAACAGCTGGCCCAGCAGCTGGAGAGCGCATCAGAAATAACAGAATCAATATGCAAACCAATAAAAAGGAAAACCTGCAGAATGTAGGGACAGAGAGAAAGGAAAACGAGGTGTTGTCTAGATATGCTTATCAATGTGAGCTTTGCTAACCCAAAGTAGAGAGATGTTTTGTTTTTGCCTGCTGTTTTATACTACATGGCATATCATATAAAAGTGTAGTGACTTTAAAATAAACAAGACTAGGTTCAGGATTGGCATGTTGGGGGAATAAAAGGAGGATGGCAGAATGGGAATGAATGGTTTGACCTTGACTTCATCCCGTCTGCATGGGTATTTTTCTCTAGGTCAAAGTAAATTTCTTGCTTCTAGGCTGATGTCATGTAAATGAACATATATGAATTATTTTATCTCATCTTACAGTCTTTCTTCCATGGAGATGCTGGGCTGTTCTACTTCTCAGGGATTGAGGGAGGTATGTTGAAATCGCCAGGCCACGGGGGTGGACATCCAAAAAGCTGACAGCTCTGGGCATCAGAAATTATTATTTCAGCATGCATTAAGGATTTGTTCAGTGGGGCTGTTATACTCTCCTACTCCTGGCACACCCCCACCTCACAGGTGTGATGGGTGATGGGAAATGGGCCCCAGGTCTGGCCCAGACCTTCCTGGCACAGGCTGCAGGAAGGTTAGGGAGTTTGAGTTGGGTTCGGCCACTGGCTCCTGAGAAGAGTTCTGGCTGGTCCAGAGATTGACATCAACAGCACATCTCAGACCCCTCCAGCTCTCCTGACCCCTCAGACCCAGCCTCTTAGGCAGCAGAAACCAGTGAGTGCGCCTGCCAGACACAAGCACGTGCGGGCCTGGGCACCAGGCTGTGCCCGCTTGCCTACTCACTCTCTCGCTGGGGGCATGGCTGTGCTCTTGCAGGGCCACCTGGACGGCTTACCTGCAGGGACTTGTCGTACCAGCGATTGGCCCCGTTCTTGCTGTAGCCTCCGCCGTGAAGGAGCTGGAGTGCCCTGTGGGTGTCGCTGAGCTCCACGCCTCCTGGCGCGTCCAGGCATACAAGGCAGATGCAGCGCTCAATCATGTCCAGCGAGTCCCGGTTGGTGGAGTCTGCAGGGGAGGCAGGCACAGCCCTAGCACCTGTCCCGCTCCAGGCCAGTCTTCCCTCCTCAGAGCCCCACACAGGGCAGGGCAGCCCTGTCTTCTGGGATCACAACAAGACCCAGGTCTTGAGCCAGCCCTGACCCCCCACCTTGCCCCACTGTGGGTGGGCAGTGAAGTCAGCCAGAGTGTCCTGAGCCTCTGTCCTACCCCAGGATCCCAGCTCATTCGCACGGTCCCTGCAGGAGCCCTGCTCTCCAGCTGTGACCAGCTCTCCTCCAGATGTGTGGGCTATTGGTCATGCATGCCAAGATGAAGCGGGATGCTTAGACCCTCATGTCAGCCCACATCAGTGGAAGGGCCCTTAATCCCCCACCCAACAGCACCCTCCACTGGGGCTCCTGTGAGCCACATCTGTGTGTAGGCATGCTTGTTTGTGCTGAACTATGACTTTCAGACATCTAAACTGCAATTTCAAAATTGTTGTTGCAATTTCAAAATTAGGCAATTTCACATTAAAACCTGAAGGAAGTGTATTGGTCACCTCCCTGCCCCCAAGCTGTTGGTTCAGAGGCAGAGCTGCAGGCAGAAGGGCCAGGCTGCCTTGAACCCACATCTGGATGAGCTTGTAGGGGCAGTTTTGGACTCATGGATCCAAAGGAGCTCCAAGCCTGGCCCACAGCTGGCTTTTGTGTTAGCCTCTACCAATTCCCAGGCTCCTCTAGACATTCTTCTAGAGTAAGCAGGTCTCAAAAGGGAATCCCCCTCCCTGGTGGCACTGGAAGAGTACAGACAAGGACGGCTCTTCAGGAGCGGGAGTCAGGCACAGAGCACGTGATTTCACCAAGGACACATGCGTTCCTCCCAGAGAGCACCAGAAGCTGCCCTCCCTGGCAGCTTCCTCCACAGGGCACAGGGAGGTTCACCAAGCCCACCCGGCAGGACCTGTTGGGGGCCAGGCCTGCTCCCGCTGCGTGTTCCCATTTCTTCCAAACAGGAGTCTATTGTGCTGACGATGTTCTCTCCACTGCTCAGTACTGGGTGTGGGGGTACACAGCCTGCCTCTTGGTTTAAAGTTCACCAAAAGTTAAAAAGTCCACCCAAAGTTTAACATTTTGGTTTAAAATTCCAAGGAGTCACTTCAAGACCCAATGGTGAGGGCTGCGTATCACCAGGAGAGCCTGACCTTGGGGGCTGGATGCTGGGACAGGATGAGGCACCCAGGGCAGGGGTGAGAGTGCTCTGTGTGTGGGAAGATGGGTGCATGGCATTTGCAGGGAAAGGTTCATTACATGGTAGAGACTCCTAGTTGCACACCACATGTCCTTTCTTTCCTTGCTTGTAGAACCCCTGGTTTTTAGCTTGGTACATGGATAACAAACTAGAGCTATACTTCCCAGCCTCCCTTACAGCTAGGGGTAACCAGGTGTCTAAATTCTATGAGCAAGATCTCAAAAAACTACACCACAGCTTCCGGGGAACCTCCTCAAAGATAACTAGCATGTGCTCTTTGTCCTGCTTCCCACCTTCCTCCATCCTGCTGCCTGGATCACAGATATAATGGTGGGAGCTCTCGCCTGCGTTTTGCCTTCCTTGGGCATGTGGACAGCTCCCCTTCCCAGGGTGGTTAGTAAATCTTTAAGACCATCCCCTAGGTCTTCTCAATGCCTGCTGTGTACACAGATGCTAACTGCACTGGTCTTCGCTCTGCCCAGGTGAATTCTCCAGGTTCACAAGGAGTGTCCACAGATGCCCTTGCCTGAAAGGAGTCTCCAGTCCCCATGCATCCCCTTTCCCTCACTTTTTGCAAATCCTGGGGAAGGAGATGTCTCCCACAGCAGACCTTCTACTCTGGGAAGCCAGCCTAGCCTTGGGACATCCTCTCTTCCCTCCTGTTGAGGATGAGGCTTTGGGAGCCCTGTGCTTTCAGAACCCCTCCTCGTCCCTATGAGGGCAGGATGCCTCCTCACTCTCTGCATGGCCTCTTGGGCTTCCCTGCCTCAGTCTGATCAGCATCAAGGATCCGGCCATGCCCTGAGGATCTAAGCATAAATGAGAGCCAGCCCAGGCCCTGGGGAAACTCCCCTTCCTGTAAGCTCCTTAAGGAGGTGCAGTCACCACATTACCCTCTTAGAACTTGAAACAGCTTCTACCGCCCACAAGGGAGAATCCAAATTTCTAAACATGGCACCGTGGGCTCCATGGCCACCTCCTTCCCACCCTAGATCCCTGCGTGGACCTCACAGACAACCTCCTGCCCCTCCCTGATCCTGTGGACATCCCATCTCCTCATCATCACGCAGGCTGTGCCCAGGACAAGGCCCTTCTCCTCCTCTGTCTATGACAGCCCTCCCTGAGCTCCCTCATCCTCTGGCAGTACCAGCCCTGCCCTGGAGGACTCCTAACACCCTGAGCACGTGGCCTCCACAGCTTGCTCAGTGCAGATGTGGAATTGCACTCTTGTCAGGCCAGCCTCACACAGCACCTGAGCCCAGAGGTGCCCCCCAATCCCTGACCACCAGCCCCTGCTGCACAGCACATGACCCCAATGCCATTCCCAGACCACCGTGCTTTGGACAGTCAGCACTTGCAGCCCCTGGACCCCTGGTCTGGTCCCCTCCCCCATATCAGCACTCACTGAGGGTGGGGCCTGGGCCTCCTGAACAAGGCAAGCACAGTCCATGCTGGGTAATGGACTTTAGTGTGCTTCCCTTGGCCTGGGCAAAGTAGGGCTGGGATCTGTGGACCCAGTTCAGACAGGGGGCCTGGAGGTGTCCAGCTGGCTAATGGGAAGGGGAAAGGCCATGTCCTTATGAAGGGCAAAACCCAACTACTTTTGAGGCTTTGAGCTTCATGAATTGATGGGGGAGTGGGGGTAGGGTGAGGCTGGGACAAGGTAGGGCTTCTTCCCCCTTGCAAGGCTCCCTGCTCTGCCCTTCTCCCCTCCTTAGGCATCCCTGCAGATGGCCATAGTGCTCGCCCTGCACTATGT
Organism: Homo sapiens; assembly: GCF_000001405.40. Lineage (NCBI taxonomy): Eukaryota > Metazoa > Chordata > Mammalia > Primates > Hominidae > Homo > Homo sapiens. Next base: position 49,643,521 of record NC_000010.11, on the reverse strand, counting down.
GCTGTGCTACTGGTCCCTGCAGGCTCAGGCTAGCCAGTGCCTTCAGAGCCCCGGGGAGGCCTTGGCCAGGTCTGGGTCAGGTTCAGATCAGCAAAGAAGAAGGGAGAGGCATGCCAGGAGGTGTATAGTAGTGCAGGGTGGTGGATGGAGGGTGGGACAGTGGTTTGGATGGCCGGAGAACAGATCCCCAGGCTTGTAAGCAGAGCTTGTGAGTGATCGGCTTGACCTCCAGCTTATGGGTGAGGGCATGCAGGATTTAGGTGGGGCTGGAAGAACATAATGATGTGATGCTATTAGCTAACCTTTGTTGAGCACCTACTATGTGCCAAATATCAATCTAAACATGCATATTGATGCATATAAGATAGGTATCATTGTCATGCCTCATTTACAGGTCAGGACCAGAGAAACCAAATATCTTGACCTTAGGCCATTTACAAGGTTTCTCTTGTAAACACGGATGATAATAATCATCCACTAAGTGGAGGGAGCTGGGTTTGATCTCAGGCATCCAACCCCAGTGCTCAGGTTCATCAACAAGGGCTATGAATGCCCAGCTCAGTCATGTGACTTCAGCCAGCAACAACAGGGAGTGCTGAAGGATCATGGAAGAGCTCAGTGTGGTCAGAGCAGAGTCTAGGATACCTGGCAGCTTGGGAAAGGCATGGGCCTGAAGGCCAGCCAAGCCGGGGCCATAGGCAGCTTGAATGCTGTACACCTCATTCCTGTTGGCCATACCTCAGGGTGAACTCTGAGAGCCCTGGCTTAGTAGCTGCCTTCACTAAGCGATCCTTAAAAACAGCCCCAAAGCCAGTGTGGAGTGGGCAGACTGCAGCTCCTGAGGCAGCCCACAGCATGCCTGCTCAGTCAGGAGGCTGAGAGCAGGCCTTGATGCAGGCTCGAGGCAGGAGAGTGGAGGCCTGGCACACTCCTTTTTAACTGGGCAATGCAAGGCTGGCAGCAGGAAAGAATGGCTCCCTGGGCATCACTGCCCTTGTCACCTCCAGGCAGGGGAGGCAGATTGTGAGGAGGCACTGAGGCCTTGCCATCATGTGCAGGCTCTGCAGGGCCCAGGAGCCCAGCGCTGCCCAACAGGAACCAGGTCCTGGCTCATTAGACAGGGTAAAATGGGAGCAGGACAACAGAGCGGGGAGCCAGGTGGCCTTGCAAATGAACTCCCTGCATATAAGTAGCTGATCAGTCAAATGCTGACAAGTTTATCATGTAAGGCAGAAAATGAGCACTACACCCAAGCTCATCCACCATGACTGTGGCCCAAATGTAATGGAAACATGGGACAACGGGCTGAAGGCGCACGGCAGGAGCCATTTGTCTTGTGGCATCCTCATCGAGCACATCGAGGCTCCTTTAAAGTGGCGAATCAATCTTCCTCAAGGAGCCCGGCGTAATAGTGAGAGGTGGGGATTGAGTAATAGGAGGAGCCTGCTCTGACACCCATGCCCAAGGAGGGAGCTGACAGCTTTGGTAGTGTGGAAATTCCAGAGGCCAGGAGGCCTCGGGGAGCCCTGAGGCTGGCATTAGAGGTTGGAAGCTTACAGGCTGAGACTCTGATGAGCACAGACAAAATAGCACCTGGTATCTCTCTCTGTGCAGGGCTGCAAGACTCAGGAGATGTTCTTTAATGTGCACTACTGTGCACAAGTACCCCCGGACATATACCACCCTCTTTGGGACACTTGCCTTTGCTTGCTCTGATCTATTCCCTGAGAAGTTAGCACAAGTCAGATTTCTATGCCATGCCCATCCCCCTTCTCACAGTCCAGGAGATGGATGAACTGGGATCTTTCTCAGGGGCTTAGACCTTCTTAACCTTTCCCAATCCTATCTCAGCATCTTTCCTCCCCTGATGAAGGAGTACTTTTTTCTTTTGGGAGGTAAATCTGCCATCGCACATCTCATATTCTTCCCGACTCTCTGGCCTAGGGGGTGATCTTTATGCTGTCAGTCCTCAGAGACTATGAGAATTCAAACAAAAGTATTTCTCACTCTTGCAAAACAGAACTGCTTTGACTTGAGTTACATCAGGCACCTTTAAAGAGCTCTGGATAGAGGGTCTTCCGATTCCAGGAACATATACTTTTCCCCATTCCTCCCGCTAAAAACTTGGACATTTTATTCAAAACAAAAGTAAGAAGACTCTGAAAGATGGCGAGAGGAAGGCAGACCAGCCAGGGACCTCAGGACCCAAGGAACATCATAGCAGCAGATTCTCTGGGTATTACGGACTGAATTGTGTCCCCTGAAAAGTCATACGTTGAAGCTTCAGCTCTCAGTGTGACTCTATTTGGAGGGAGGGCCTTTACAGAGATAAAGTTAAATAAGGTCTTAATCCAATAGAACTGGTGTCCTCATAAGAAGAGGAGATACCAAGCATGTGTGCACAGAGAGAAGGCCATGTGAGGACACAGTGAGAAGGTGGCTTGTAGTTGCCTACCCTGTGACACCTTCATCTTGGACTTCCAGCCTCCAAAACTGTGAGAAATAAATGTCTGTTGTTTAAGCCTCCACTCTGTGGTATTGTTATGCCAGCTCTACAGACTAATACACTGTGGGGTTGTTTTGGTTTGTTTTTTACCTGAAATATCCAATTTGCATTGAAGAACCCAGCAACGTAAAAACACAAGTGGGTATAGTTAAAAACAAACAAACAAACAAACAAAATAATCAACAAAAGCCTGCTCTCTCTAGTCAAAGGATCAGAATAGCAAGACATAAAACTTTTAGGTAATAAGCGTTCTACTTCAGCCAAACACCACAGAGAAAAACCGTGTCATCCCTCCCTCCCCCAGCACCCTTGCCAGCAAAGGCCAAGTGGAGAGCCCAGATGTCTACCATCACCAGTCAGTAATGAGGCATCTCAGCTTCTGGGGTATCAGAGAAGGCACAGTCTCAGATGGAAGCTGAGAATTCTATCTCCATTGAGCAATAACCAGCCCTCCGTCCTTTTCCCCACACAGCATTAATAGAGACCGTGTAGGGAGCTTGAACTTCCACCCCCCAACCCTGCAGTAATAAGGAGTCCCCTCCCCCAGGGTGTCAACAGAGACCCAGTGAAGTGCCTGTGCTTCCACCTCCACCTCGTTATAACCTCCCCCATTCTCTTGCTGGACCAGTGTCAGAGGAAGCCAGTTAAAACAAGCTTAAATAAGATCCCAAGTCTTATAACACAATATATCCAAGTTTCAACAGAAAATCACTCATTCTACCAAGAACTAGGAAAATCTCAGTTTGAACACGGGAGGCGGAGGCTGCATTGAGCCGACATCACACCACTGTACTCCAGCCTGGGCAACAGAGTGAGACTCCGTCTCAAATAAATAAATAAATAAAATTAAAATAAAATAAATAAAAAGCAGTAATCATAAAAAAGCCTCAACAAGCAATTTTAACATATTTGAAACAAATGAAAAAGAAAAGAAGTCTCCACAAAGAAACAAATTCTCAGCAAGAAAATAAAATATATAAGAAGAACCAAATAGAAATGTTAGGACTGAATAATAGAATAACCAATATAGAAAGCGCAGTGGATGGACTCAACAGCAGAACCTAGGGAGGAGAGAAAAGAATCAGTGAACTTGAAGACGGAATAACACTGATTAGACTGGGGGAAAAGGAACAGAGTCTAAGGCACCTTTGAGACAAAAGGTGATGTTTATGTCACCAAATTCCCAGGAGAGGAGAAAGAGGGCAGAGCAGAAACGACTCAGATAAATAATGGCTAACGCATCCCCAAATTTGGCAAAGGACACACATCTAAAGATTCAGGAAGGTAAGTTAACCCCAAACATGATAAATTCAAAGAAGCAAACACCAAAACATATCATAGTCAAACTTTTGAAAAATAAAGACAAAGGAAAAATCTTGAAAACAGCAAGAGAGAAATGATATACATATATACACATGTATCTATACATAGACACACACACCCATATGTGTGTGTGTGTGTGTGTGTGTGTGTGTATATATATACTATATATATATTCTATAGGAGAAAAGCAACTAGGACAACAGCAGATTTTTTTTTTCTTATCAGAAACCATGAAGACCAGAAGGAATTGCCATAATATTTTGTAAGTGCTGAAAAAAAAAGAACTATCAATCCAGAATTCTATATCAAGAAAAAATATCCTTCAGAAATGAAGAAGGGGAAATCAAAACATTTTCATATGAGGAAAACTAAGAGAATTTATGCCAAGCAGACATATCCTGAAAGAATGGCTAAATAAAGTGTTTTTTTGTTTGTTTGTTTTTGGTTTTGGTGTTTTGAAATGGAGTCTCGCTCTGTCACCCAAGCTGGAGAGTGCAGTGGCCCAATCTCGGCTCACTGCAACTTCCGCCTCCCAGGTTCAAGCAATTCTCTGCCTCAGCCTCCTGAGTGGCTGGGATTACAGGCGCCTGCCACCACGCCAGGCTAATTTTTGTATTATTAGTAGAGACAGGGTTTGTCTCTACTTGGCCAGGCTGGTCTTGAACTCCTGACCTCACGATCCACCCTCCTCAGCCTCCCAAAGTGCTGGGATTACAGGCGTGAGCCACTGCAGCTGGTCCCTAAGAAAGTTTTTTTTAAAAGAAAAGAAATGGTAAAAAGAGAAACATTGGAATATCAAGAAGAAAGAAAGAACAATAGGAAAGGTAAATATCTGAGTAAATAAATTCATTTTCATTCTCCTTTTAAGTCTTCTAAACTGTGTTTCAATGTTGAAGCAAAAATCATAAAATTGCCTGATGTGGTTCTAAATGTATATAGAGATAATATTTAAGACAAGTGTATTATAAACAAAGGAGAATAAAAGGTGGTAAGCTTTCTACACTTCACTAGAACTGGTAACATTTCAACACTAATAAACTGTGATAAGTTATGTATATACAAGGTAATACCTACAGAAACTGTTAGAAAAAGCTATACAAACAGATAATTTTAAAAAAGTTACAGGTATATCAAAATTGAATTCTAAAAAATGTTCGGGTAACCCACACGAAGGCAAGAGAAAGAGAACAATAATTGAAAAACAGAAAATAAAAACTAAAATATCAGAGTTAAGCCCTAACACATCGATAATTATGTAAAGTGTAAATGTTCTAAATACACCAATTAGAAGACAGAGATTGATGGAATATACGACAAAACATTACCCAGCTATATGCTGTCTACAAGAAGTGCACATCAAATATAATGATATAGTTTGGTTATAAGTAAAAGGAAGGAAAAATATATAGCATGCAAACATTAATCAAAAGAAAGCAGAAATGGCTATCTTAATGTCAGGTAAAGTACACTTTAGAGCAAAGAAAACTTACCAGAGACATAGAAGGGCATTATATAAAAGTGAAGGATAAATCCTCCAAGAAGACATGGCAACCCTAAATGCATCTATACCAAGCATACTATAAAATATGTTAAACAAACTCTGACAGAACTGAAAGGAGAAATAGCCAAATCCACAATTGTACTTGGAGACTGTAACACCGCTCTCAACAGTTGTTAGAACGACTAGACAGAAATTCAGCAAGGACGTAGAAGAAATCAACAATATCATCAATCATTCTCTTCAAATACCCATCGAACATATGCCAAGATAGACTATACCCAGGGCCATAAAACAACACTCAACAAATTGAAAAGAATTAAAGTCATTCAAAATATGTTATCTGACCACAGTGGAATCAAAGTAGAAATCAGTAACAGAAAAATAACATAAAAAGTTCCAAACATTTGGAAACTAAACAACATACTTCTAAACAATGAATGGGTCAAAGAGGGAGTCTGTATTAGTCTGTTTTCACACTGCTCTAAAGAACTGCCTAAGACTGGGTAATTTATGAATAAAAAGGTTTGATTTACTCACAGTTTCACGTGGCTGGGGAGGCATCAGGAAATTTACAATCATGGCAGAACGCGAAGGGGAAGCAAGGACCTTCTTCCCATGGCAGCAGGAGAGACAGAGAACAAGGGGGGGACTGCCAAGCACTTTTAAACCATCAGATCTCCTGGGAACTCACTGACTGTCATGAGAACAGCATGGGGGAAACCGCTCTCATGATCCAATCACCTCTCACCGGGTCCCTCCCTTGACATGTGGGGATTACAATTCGAGATGAGATTTGGGTGGAGACTTAGAGACAAACCATATCAGAGTTTTAAGGGAAATTTAAAAAATACACTGAAATGAATGAAAACTAAAATACACCATATGAAAATTTGTGAGATATAGCTAAAGTATTGATGAGAGGGAAATTTATAGCATTAAATGCTTACATTAGAAAAGTCTCAAATCAATAATTTCTTACCTGAAGAACCTAGAAAAAGAAGAGCAGAAAAAAACCCAAAGCAAGCAAGATGAAGGAAATAATAAAGAGCAGAAATCAATACAGTTGAAAACAGGAAAAAAAATCAACAAAAAGAAAGGTAGTTATTTTAAAAGATCAATCAAATTCATAGAGAGACTGACAAAAAAAAAAAGAGAGGGAGAAAGACACAACCACCAATATCAGGAATGAAACAGGATATCACTACAGACCCTGCAGACATCAAAAGTATAATAAGAGGATACTATGAACAATTCTATACACATAAATCTGACAACTTACATGAAATGGACCAATCCCTTGAAAAGTATAAACTACCACAATGCATTGAATATTATGATTATTTGAATAGCCCTATAATTATTAACCCGTTTATGCTGGAGGTTGCAAATTTTTTTGTGTGAAAAATCAGACCTTGGTGATGACCTTAAGCAGTAGGACATAAATAACTCCCACAAGCTTAGCGTTCTAATAATGGAACACTAGGCATAAATGAGTTAAGGGTATTGAATTAGCAACATTAAAACTCCCCAAAAAGAAATCTTCAGGCCCAAATAATTTCACTGAAAAATTCTACCAAACATTTAAGGAAGAATTGATACCACATTTATACAATCTCTTTCAGAAAATATAAGAGGAGGGAACATTTCCCAATTTATTTTACGAAACAGGTATCCTGATACCAAAAGAAGATAAATACAGTACAACAAACAAAAAACCAAACCAACTATAGACCAGTGGCCCTCACAAATATAGATGGAAAAAATACTGAACTACATATTAGCAGGTAGAATTAAGCAATATATGAAAAGAATTATACACCATGACCAACTGGGGCTCATTTCAGGGATGCAAGCCTGGTTCAATATCTGAAAATCAATCAATGTAGCCCACCACATTAACAGACTAAAGAAAAAAATAACATGATTACATTAATTGATACAGTAAAAACATTTGACAAAATTGAACATCCATTCATGATAAAATCTCTTATTGAACTAGTACCAGAAGGGAACTTCCTTGACTTGATAAAGAACATCTACAAAAAGCTTATAGCTAACATCATATTTAAAGGCGAAAGACTATAATTGAGTTTTGTACGTTAATCTTTTATATTGCAACCTTGCTGAATTCATGTATTCTAGGAGTTTTTGGAGTTGTAGATTTGCTACTATTTTCTACATACATAATCATTTCATAAAAGTAGGGATCATTTAATTTTTTTCTTTCTGATCTGTATCCCTTTTATTCCCTTTTCTTGCCTTAATGCACTGGCCAGAACTCCAATACTGTGTTAAACAGAGTGGTAAGAGTAGGTATCCTCTTATTACTGATCTTAGGGGGAAAGCATTCAGTCTTTCACCTTTAAATAAGATGTTAGCTATAAGCTTTTTGTAGATGTTCCGTATCAGGTCGAGCAAGTTCCTTTCTGGTCCTAGTTCTCTAAGAGATTTTATCATGAATGGTTGTTGAATTTTGCCAAATGCTTTTACTGTATTGATTAATATAATCATGTTATTTTTTTCTTTAGTCTGTTAATGTGGTGGATTGCATTGTCTTCACACCTATCAAAATGGTTAAAATAAAAAAAAGTGACACCACCAAATGCTGGCAAAGATGCATAGAAACTGGATTATACATATATTGCTGACAGGAATGTAAAATGGTACAGTCACTCTGGAAAACATTTTAGCAGTTTCTTAAAAAACTAAACATACTATTATGGTGTGACCTAGAAATTTCATTCCTGGGCATTTTCTTCCAGTAAGTGAAAACATAGGTTCACACAAAAACCTGTACACAAATGTTCACAGTAGCTTTAATAGCTCAAAACTGGAAACAACCCGGATGTCCTTTGATGGGTAAACAATGAAAGAAACTGATACCTAGCACCATGGAATATCACTCAGCAATAAAAAGGAAAGAACTGTTGATACATGCAACGATTTGGATAAATCTCCATCCGGAGAATTATACTGTTTGAAAAAAGCCAGACCCTGCATCATACATGCTATATGATTTCATGTATATAATATTCCTGAAGCAATAAAATTATTGAAATAGAGAACAGATTTGTGGTTGCCCAGGAGTTAAGAAGGGGGTGAGGTGGGTGTGGTTATAAAAGGGCAGCAAGAGGGATCCTGGTGGTGATGGAATGTTCCGTATCTTGACTGTATCAATGTCAGTATCCTGGTTGTGATATTGTACTATAGTTTTGGAAAATGCTACCATTGGTGGAAGATGGGTACATATGAGATCTCTGTATTACTTCTTACAACTGGATGTTAATCTTCAGTTATCCCAAAATAAGTACAATTTAATTTCAAAAAAGAACTTAAGAACCAAGAAGTGTTCTTTCTTCTGGGTTCTAACCACTCTTCCCACAAAGGCAGAGGGTATAAAGAGCTGTCAGGCTTCCAGAACTGGGGGAAAGGATGGTGGGGGAGAAAGGCAGGAGATACAAAAACAAAAACAAAAACAAAACAAAAAAAACCACCTCCTAGCTATCTTGTACCCCAAACATTACTGTGCTGCACATAAAATGGAAAACGAGGGCCAGAGAGATGGTGACTAGGGAGAAGGTAAAGAGAGGAGCCCAGTGTGTGTGCACACAGAGAGAGTGGTACGTGGAGGGCCCAGGGAAAGCAAAATGCACCACAGAGTTCATAGGGATTAGGATTCCATGCAAAGAGCAAAGCAGCCTGAGGGCCCACGGGCCCCTGCCTCTGACCACAAGGACAGTACTCATGTTCAAGTTCACCAGATTTTTCCAGAGGGGTTGTGGGCATTGGGCAAAGCATCCCCAGCGTGATCCCCAAATCTAATAAGAGCTACCATTTAGCCAACACCCTCTGTGTGCCAGGCGCCAGCCCATCTGCTTTACCGCCCATCCCCTTGGTCCTGCCCACAGGGCAGACTGCTATCTTCATATAGACTAGGAAGCCCAGGCCCCAGGAGACAGCAGCCGTGGTAGGTTAAGGGCAGGCCTCTTGCCCTGGACCACTTGCCTTTCCTGCCTGGATGCTCTTGTCCCTAAAGGCCTTCATTCTCCTACTGAAGGAGGGAGGCATTGGCCCAGCCCCTTTCCAGAGCAAGAAAATCACATTCAGTCTTGAGAGCTCGGGAGGTATTTCTGGGCCAATTAAATCAGAGAGGCTGTTAGTGCTAATGTGTAATTGGTTTTAAAATCAGCAGACATGCCTAGCTCTGGATGACGATACGTAAATAGCAAAATGCCCCCATCCTGAGTGGTTCTTGTAAACCATGACCATGGCCTTCTGCAGCTGTAGCCGCCTTCTGTCAGTTCCCTCCTTGCAAGCAGTGGCTCAGCTCTAATTGACTGTCGGGGATAAATATTTACGGGACTGTGTAAACGAAAAGCATCTGCCTCTGAGGTCTGGTCACAGGCTCTTCACGGCAGCACCCAGGAAAGCCAGAGGGCTGGGGGGCTCTCCAAGCTGGCCATTCTTTTCCTACAAATTGACAAGTGCTGTAGTCTCCCAGACTCGGGGCTGAATGTCTAATTAAATTTCCAGGCCAGGATAACGGGTTGGCTCCTCCTGGGTTCAGGAAGGCCACAGCTTCGAGGCAGTGGGGAGGGAGGTCCTAATAGGGTGTGCAGGCTCCCTCTGAGGCCCCAAGCCTGTCTTCAGAATCCCACCTGGCCTCCCTGGCACTGCAGGTCTCAGGCTGGCTAGGCAGATGCTCCCTTCCAGTGTCAGATCCTGCTTCACCCCCGGCCACCCCTAAAGGAGACAGACATAGCCTCTTCCTCGGTTCAGTGGGAATAAAATCCCACCTCGCAGGTGTAACAAAAGACAGAAGGTGCCCAGGAAAGAGCAAGCCAGAGGGGGACCTGGATGCTCTGCTAATATCCGAGTAAGCAGGTCCCAGCCTGGCCTGCACATGAAAACACCAGAGTGCTATAAAAATAGATTCCTTGGCCCCACTCTGTCCCTCTGGAAAAGCACTGGGGCCCGGGAATCTGTTTTATTTTGTTTTATTAAGGAATGCTCTAGACAATCCTGATGTCATCATCCAACCCCAGTCTGCAATTAGGGCTGAGTCACACTGGCCTCAGCACACCTGGCTTTAGCTTCAAGTTCCTCTGTGGACGTGGCCTCCCAGCCCCTCAGGAATCTGTCTGAATTGCTGCTTTGGTTTAGCCTGTGTATCCTGGTGCTTTGGGCCCCCAGAGGACACTGGTAGTGGCCTGTGGATGATCAGGCCACCTTCGTTGATGTCAGTGCACACACTCCTGCACCGTGTCTGAGCCCATGTCTGAGCTGGAGCTGAGGGGTGCGGCAGGCAGCCCTGCTCCCCTGCGCGTGGGCTGTGCCACCCTGGCAGTCCCTGGAACCCTGTGGGCCTCATGCCCTCAGTGTCGTGGCAGAGGGTCAGGCTAAGCAGCCTGGGGCTCACAGGAGGGAGTCATCCTGGTTGGGGGCAGGGTGAAGGCTCAAGGGCAGTGTCTTGAAGGAGAGAGGTTGATAAAATGGAGGGTCGGGGTGGAAAAGCCCCTGCCCCAGGCCTTAGTTGACCACATGAGAATCCGGGGAAGTGTTTCATCTGAGCGCAGTCTCCTTGGTCTAGACCTCCACCAGGCTGAGAGGAGCTCAGCTTGGCCAAGGCCTCCTGCCAGTGAGTGCTTGCCTGGACTCTGTGCCCATGAGCACTGTCCCTGTACCCAGGCTCCAGGAAGTGGGGGCAGGATCTTAGGGCTTCAGCTGAGAGGGTTGGGAGCTATGCTCCCCTAAAATAGCTCAACCCTTTCCGTGGAGTTAATCAGGATACTGCTGTGGGTGAGAAAGCACCTCAGCCCCAACAGCCACACTAGGCAACCACCCTGGGGGCTCCCTGGCTCCCCCATCACCCCACTCCCCAGGCCATGTGTCCTCTACGCGCATGCAGTCCTCACACTTGTCCTTTACTCCTTCTGGAGCGCTTCATGCCTGTCTCAGACGGGCCATTCCCCTGCATGGCTAAACTCTTCTGTAGGTGTCTGCCCAGCTTTGCCTCAACTGCAATGTGGCACTTCCCGAGGGGTGCTCCCCTGAGGTGCCCGCTCCCCTGCCACCCTCTCAAGCATGCTGTTGTTTTCCTCCACACTCATGCACCCCAGGGCCAGGTGGGGTAGACAGCTTCCTTCTACTGTTCCTGCTTCTAAACAACTCCCCCTCCCTCATCCCACTTTGTTTTGGAGCTGGAGCTGTTAGGTTTTACCCCCCCAATAACCATCATCCCCCTTGTTTCTGTGCTGCGCCAATATCTTCCTAGGTCCCCATCATGAATATCTGGGCTCTCAATTCACCTGCTTCCCCCATGCTACTGGAATCATCGTTATGGTAGTATGTGCATCCATGTGGACGCCCAGTCTCCATCCTCCTCTCCCAACTCCTCCATCTCCACACCTTTGACAGTCTCACCCCTGCACCCATGGCCAGTATCACATCTGGGAACTTCTCTCTACCATGAGCCCACCACCTCTAAAGTCTCAGTTTCAAGCATCCCACACTCTGACCACATTCCTGGCTTTCTAGTTCACATCCTCTGATACCCACTGAACACATCTCATGTCACTGAGACGGCCAAACCCCTCGGCCCTGCTATGCTCTCACCATCTGTCATTTACCCTGTCTGTCACTTCATTCCTCTTATGGGCCAAATTGTGTCGTTCCAAAATTCCTGTGTTGAAGTCCTAACTCCCAGAAGCTCAGAATGTAACTGTATTTGGAGATGGGACCTTTAAAGAGACAATTAAGTTACACTAGGCCATTTGGGTGAAGCCTAATCCCATATGACTGGTCACCTTATAAGAAGAGATTAGGATGCAGATACGCACAGAGGCAAGACCACATGAAGACACACAGAGAAGGTGGCATCGACAAGCCAAGGAGAGAGGTGTCAGGAGAAACCCACCTGCTAAACTGTAAGATAGCAGGTGTCTGTTGTTGAAGCCTCCCAGTCTGTGGTACTTTGTTACGGCTGCCTGAGCAGACTTGAACCTGCTGAGCAGACTTGAACACACTTCCTTACTCAGCTCAGATTCCAGCATGACCGTTCTTGGCCACACCTTCACCGTCCCTACCAGTTACACTCACCAACTCTGGCTGAACCTGAGGAGCTGAGCGTTGGTGGGGAAGATCACATAACAATGTTAATTAGCCTCTCCTAAAATGTATCACTTTGAACCTTCATATATGAGCTCAACACAGTCCATAAATCTTATCAAGTTTTTCAAGTCTTCTTTCCCACTTTCCAGGAGGCTATTTCACACAGTCGATTTCATCTTCAACATCCAACTGCCCGCCTCTTATCTCAAGGTTGTGATCTGAGACCAGGAGGTACCAGTTGGGAGCCTCTGCATGCTCCTACCTCTGCTGCCTCAGGCCCAAGCTTTCCACTTCACCCTGTACCAACCAAAGGCCTCTTATTTTCTGAGTTCTATCTCCTTTTGCCTTTGCAAGAATTCCACCCCTCCATTCATCTCCTATCTCTTCATCAATTTCTTTTACTAAATTCCTTCCATACATTTGTCTCTCCTCCTAAAAACACCTCCCTTGACCCTCATCCTCTTTTAGCAACTCCCTCATTTTTCTGCTCCTTTTAGTGTCAAAATGTCTGAGAAAAAGTCGACCATACTCACTGGTTCAACTCACTGACTGCCTCATCGACAATTTCTTTCTGCTGTTGGATCACTTCTGTCAGTGTGCAAGCATTTGTTCTCCTGCTACTCCAGTCTGACCCTCAGTAAGCCCAGTGACAACTTCAGGGTTGCCAAGCCGGGTCCCCTGTGTCCTGTTCCTCCTCCAGCTCTCCACAGCATTCCATGTGGCTGGCCGTTCCCTCTGTCTTGAATCTTTGTGACTCTTCTGGCTTTCCTTTACTTCATGGGCTACTCTTTCTCAATCCCCTTTGCATCCTTCTCTACCTGACCTCCAGGCTCCCTGTTCTTCTGTTTCTAGATTATCTCACCCAGGTCCATGACTTTAAGGATCATTTATGCGCTGATGTCCCTCAAATTTATTGCTCTGTACTGACCTCTCCCTTGGGCTCCAAACATATATATTAAGCTTGACGTCTCCACCCAGATGACCCAAGCACCTCTAACCCAACATGTGTGGCAATGATTTCTCCATCCTGTACCCACTCCCCGACCCTGTTTCCCATCTTACTAAATGGCACTAACATCCACTCACGGCTCGGATAAAAAGCCCAGGAATTGTTCTCGCTTTCAATGGCCTTGACGTCACTGGTCTCTCCATCTTCACTCTCAACCCTGTCCCAAGCTGCCATACTCTTTCACTGGGAAACCGAAATCATTTTGTAAATGGTCTCTCTGTTTCTGTTCCATAGGCAGGGCTGCTCTGGGGAGGGGGGATCTGTGAAGGATCAGTTTCCTGTTGTGTAGATGACACAGTTGGCGCTAACTGGATTAATCGGATTACCCAAGGGGAGGCGCATGTGTCCCCTCCTTTCTGTCGCATTTCCCTCAGAAACAGCACTTCCATTCAGAAAGCCAGATCAAGTGCCATTAACAAATCAATTCTGATCTGCAGCCCAAGTGCTCAGACCTTGGGGCAATCCAGCCAGCCCTGAAGGGCGTGTCTTGGGCCTGGCCTGCTAATAAAGTGGAAACTATGCTGGAGGCAGAGGCGATTATTTTGATGCCTGTCTCTGTCCCTGAAGGGGAGAAGAGTGGGATTTGATTACACCATGGTCTCCCGAGGGAATTAACTCACTGCGGAATGCTAAGTTATTAATTCTCCAGCACGAGGTTAGGTCCGGGAGGGCAGTCAGCTCTCACACCCCTCTTTGGCTCCTGCAGCCCCCTATTTATGACAGCATTCAGGAGGTGCCCAATAATTGGATGAAAGAATAATTAATTGGTAAGTCGGGGAATAAGTCTGGGGCCTGGCATTTTTAATCACCCTTCACTCTTTTATTTAATAAATGTAACTGGGCCCAGACTGTGTTTCTCAGAAATTAAACCAAACAGACAAGGCCCCTGTCCTTCTGACCTTATAGGCAGTGGGTAGGAGGTGGGGGGAAAGGCAGATAATCAGCATTTATCAAACAAATGCAAAGTTGTCCTCAGAGAGTGAGCAACAGAGTCAAGGTAAGCGAACGGGCCACAGTGACAGAGTGTGCGGGAAGGATGCCCAAGGCAGGCCTGAGGCCGGACACCTGGGCTGAGCTCTGCGTGCGGCAAGGAGCCAGCTGGATCTGGGGGAAGACCCTTCTAGAGAGAGACCAGAAAATGCAAGTGGCTGTTAGAAAAAATAGGCCCAGTACATCCGGCTCAGGCCACCTTTGCTGGGCAGCTATTCTCCTCCTCACCCTGGGGGTAAGGTGGGTGTGTCCCTGCTGGGCCTCGGGCTTTGCCCAGGGTTGGTCTGCCTGCCTGGGTACCATCCTTCCCTCCAGCCTTTCTCACTCATGCCATGGGGCTTTGTTCCATTCCCACCTCTTCTAACAGAGCCTTTCACAATCCCACTCGGAAGGGCTCCGTCCCCTCTCTGAAGTCCTGGAGCACGTTTTTGACGCCTGTCTGAAGTGGGTCAGCACTGCATGCACCTGGATGTGAGTCTCCTCCCCATGCCCCCTCTTCCTGTTCCCATCATGGGGCTGCTCTTGGGTAGAGGCCTCAACTCCTTTGTCTCCCATACTCCCTGAGCCAAGCCCAGGGCCCTCAGTAACAGATGTGGAGAGTCTGAATAGATTGCCTGACCCAGTAAAATTCTGAGGGGTAAATAAAGACTCACAGAAGTCTTGCTTCTCATCCAGTGTCTCTAACATGGGCAAGGAAGGAGAGCATTCCATCAGCTCCTGGAATAGGACCAGCTTTGGATTTGAAAGTAGTTTCCAGAAGGGTGATGAAAAATTTTCAAGAATATTCCTGGCTTTCTTATGGGAATGCTTGGAGACTTTCATCAGAACAGTGCCACAAGATAAGGGACAGCTTGAAGATGAAGAGTCCCAGGATGGAGAGATCAGGTGAAAGAGGTGGTGAACCACTTTCCCAGAGGCAGGCTCCATCCCACACCCCCATTCAGCGACTCCCCCAGCCACTATCAGTGAGCGCCACCCACCAGGAAAACACACCTGCTCACTTGCAGCCAGCCTTCCTCCAGCTAACTCCCCCGCCCCGCCCAGTATTCTCAGACATCCCCAATTCCAGCACTAGTTAGTCCCACCAAGAAAGCCAGATACTGTCAGATGGAACACGAGGGCACAAAAGGTGGCTTCGGTGGCAAGGCACTGTGGCTGGCCGCAGGGCATGCTGTGGGCCCTGAGCTCCCACACTATGGCTGATGGGGATGAGGCCCTGGCCCAACCCTAGAGGAGGGAAAGCCAATGGGCACGAGCATGAGATGGGCATGGAGATGTGCTGGGCACTGCGGCTGACCTTTCACGAGGACCGTCCTGGCCTCGGCCCACTCGCTCCTCCCGTCAGACGTCAGCAGGCCAATTGGAGGCAAACGCTCGTCCTCGTTGGAAGCCATTTTGACTATCTTTCTCAACTGAGTGAACAGATCCCCCTCACTGAGACGGCGGAAATTAATGACAACATCCAAGACAAAGAACTGTGGGGTAAACAGGTCAAACATGTCACTTGTTGGGTGGCCCGTGGCACCAGGCCTTCACTCAGCCTTCACAGGTAAGCTTGGGGCAGGGATGCTCAGGCCCAAGGTTCCCAAGGTGTTTGGTGGTTCTAGTCTCAGTTTAGGGACCAAGCCAAGGCTGTTGACTGTGCTGGATTCCACGCTGCCCCCAATCAAAGAAGGCAACATTAAACTTAGCCAAAAGAAAATGTGTTTCATGGTTCACGGAATCCATTATGTTTGTGGGGAATGGAATATAAATTGGCACAGCTACTGTTGGAGGGCAGTGTCTATCAAAACTAAAAATGTGCATACCTATGACTAAGCAATTGCACTTATAAATGCATATTTTAGCCTGAGGCTTAGAGAAACGTACCCGTGTGTACCGGAAGACACGAGGAATGTGCCTCTCGGCCTTGTTTGCAACAGCAAAATGGTAGCAAGAGCCTCACTGTTCTCCAGAAGGGGAATGGCTAAGTGAAATGTGGTGTATATGTCTAGGGCATGTCTACCCAGCCATTGAAAAGAGTGAATTAGCAACAGATAGAGCCACAGTGATGGGCCTTAAACACACTGGTGAGTGGAGGAAAAAAAGCAAGCCAGCAATCATATGCAGAGGAAGATTAAAATGGAAAACCAACACACACCATGCGTGCATGTGCACCTACACATGTGTGCATGTGTGTGCACCTTCACATGTATACCTACATGTGCTTTGTATGTCAGCCCTGTGGTTTTGTCATTTTGTAGCTTTGAAGGCTAGAGCCTTGGGCTTTGTGAAGGGTCTATTCCTAGACCCAGGTCAAGATACACTTTTCAGCTGATTGACATGAGTACCTTGTTTTCCCTTCCCCTCCAACCCCCTAGCAGTGTCTGTATGGCCTGGTCTTGTGCAGGGGCCCAGAGCATGTCTGGAAGAGGTGGATACGGTGGCCTGTGGGAGCTGGGAAATACTTGGCTTGACTTTTGAATGAAGATGGGGAAACGTCCTTGGTCTATGGCCAAGGTGTCAGGTGGGCTGCGAGAGCTCCTAGATGGCCTTCAAATCTAGGAACAGAGGTCACAGCTGCCCTCAGATGTCAGGGCTCCACAGAGCTCCCAACTTACTAAAAATGTGAGGAGAGCCCAGGATCACATTGTAGAGCAAGTACCAGGGGAGTCCCTGGGATGGTTGCCAAACTTGGGTTTTAGCAAAGCAAAAACAAAAACAAAACTGTTTGTCAGAGGAAATATTTATGTGAAGCTCAATATATGGAATATATAGTGCAGTGGGCACAGGGAAGAGGTCAGGAGCCCTCATGCTCAGCCTGTCCCCCAGGACCCATGGGTCCTTGTTGGCTCTGTGGAACCCAGTCTGAGGACCTGAGCTGCAGGGGGTAGAGCATGACCTTAGGGCACTGGCCAGACCCAGGATTCCTTCCCACTCTTGGACAGACCACTTAACTTGTCTGAGTCTCATGTCCTCAACTGTCACACAGAGATCCTAAGGCCCCCTCTGCATGGTCACTGTGAGGATTAAGTGGGATGAATGCATGTTAAGTGCTGAGCCCACAGGCTGACACATGAAAGGTCCTATTTGTCAGTCTGTAACACTGTCTGTCTGTGTGTGGTCTCCAGAAAGGCCAGAGCCTGGGTGACTGCATGGAAAAGAACAGATGTACAGGTGGAGGTCTCGATCATGACCCTCAGTGCATCAGTGCTGAAGTGAGAGTCCAGTGAGGATATTCTCAAACTGACGGCTCTCATTCTTAGAAGGCAACTGGTGGAGAGACATGGGACTGACTGGAAGTAGGGGCCCCACTTTGGAGACATGGTGCCCCAGCTCCCTGTGTGACTCAGGGAAGGAGGCTGAGCCCCCTCGGAGAAGGTAATGGACGTGAACGCATGGCCACTGTATGCTCTGTGCCCTCCCTCACCAAGACAAGGGGTTGCTTACCTGATTGCAGCAGGCTACGATGACGTGCTCAGGCTCCGGCATGATGCTGCTGTTCTGAGCCACCAGCGTGTCCTGGGTATGGCCGGGGAGCCGGTAGGAGGAGAAGAGCCCATAGTATTGCTTCATGCAAAGGGGCTGCCCTGACAGCTGGCCTTTGGCACAGTCAGTGGGAATGGAGTGGCTGAAGGAGAGGAGTGGGAAGGGAGGCAGCCACGAGGGGATGGTGGGTGGTGAGGGGAGACAGAGAATGGGTTTTATTGTAACTTGATCAGGCAAAATGGGGCACAGAACCCAGAACTGCATCATCATGGCAGATGCAGAGCTCAATTCTCCACTTTTTAAAGTAGTGGAGGCCCCATTTCCACAACACGTGGAGACCCTCAGAGTTTTCTCAAACCTCTGCCTCATGCACGGCATGTGCAAAGCCTGCCAGTTAGCCTTCTGCATCTTTGCTTATGCTGATCTTCTCTCGGCGTGCCTTTGCCCCAACCCCAGAACTCAACTGTTCTATTCAGAAAACTCCTTCCCCTCCTTCAAGAGCCTACTCCTTTATCATCTCTTTTAGAAGCCTCTTCTGAGGTCAATGCAGGAAGTTCTTTTTCCCTCTGGTCTCAGCATGCCTTGTGCCTATCCTTCCTTTCTCCCTCCCTTTCTTCCATCCATCCACCCATCCATCTATCCATCATCCATCCATATATCCATACATCTACCATACTTCTACCACGAAACATCCATCCCTCCTTCCACCCACCACCCACTCATCTATCCACCATCCACACATCTATCCACCATCCATCTATCCTTGCATCCACCCATCCATCCACCAAGCATCCATCCATCCTTCCATCGACCCATCCATCCACCATCCACCCATCTATCCACCATCCATCCATCTTTCCATCCATCCATCCATCCATCCATCCGTCCATCCATCCTTCCTTCCTTCCACTCTTTCAGCCAACAAATATTTGTGAAGCACGTCCTCCGTATAGGCCAGGCACCATTCTGGGATGTGGGGATATGGCAGCAAATAAGACATGCAGCTCCTGCTCTACTGGGGTGTAAGTCCTAGGATGTGTAGGTAGGGAGTAGACCACAAGCAGCAAACCAGTGAACAGGAGACTGTCAGGTAGTGAGACAGAGTGTTGGCAGGGACAGGAGGTGGTGACCAGGGGCAGTCTCACTGAGGCAGGTTGATTGAGCTGAGCCCTAAGGGTGAAGTGTCCCAAAGCACTGCAACTCAAAGTATGAGTATTGCACTGAACTGCTGTGACTGACCCATGACTTGGTGTAATGCCTGAACCCAGAAATGTTTGTAGCAATGTGATGGGAGTTTTATGTCTGTTGAATCCTGTAATAAAACATTTGGTCTCATATTTCATACCGTTTTTCTAGTAATCAATTTTTTGTTGTTTTTCACAAATTTTACAAAATGAAAGAAAATATATTGGTTCTTCCCCAGAGGCAGCTTGAGAAGCACTGATCAAAGGCAGAGAGAAGCCAGTGGGGCTGAGGCCCAGTGAAGACAGGGCCAGAGAGGTGGGCAGGCCAGGTCCTGTGGGGCTCCAGTGGCAGTGGAGAGGAGCTATCGCCTTATTCTTGGTGCAGTGAAAGCCCTTGGGAGGCTTTAGCACGCAGGGGCATGACTGGGTTTCCATTTTGTTGTTTTACTGACCCTGCTTATATGGGGAGAATGGACTGAAAGGTGTCACAGGAAGAACAAGGAAGGAGGTTGTGGCAGAGAAGGAACGTGATGTCTTGTGAGGGCAGCAGGGAAGGAGGAGGGAGCTTGGGGACACAGTGGGGAGGGAGAATGACCACATCTGAGCACCATGGGTTACATGAAGGTGCAAGGGAGAAAGCAGAACAAGCACAGGTGACTTCTAGGTTCCCAGACTCACCAACAGGGCATGTGCTGGTGCACTTACGGACATGGCTCGACAAGGTATGGGAGGAGTTGGGGAATGGGGAGGGAGAGGCGAAGCTCTCCTGGCTCATTTGTAATGACTGAGAGACACCCCGGTGGGGATGGCTGAGGCTTGGATGAGCGAGTGTGGGACTCAGGGGAAGGGACACAGCTGTATTTTGTGTCTGTTTAAGTGACTGTCTTGCCCAATAGTCTAAGGACATTTTGAGGGGAGGATGAGGCCTTATTTCTCTTCCTCTTCCCAGCATAACTACATTGCAAAGTGAATAAGTAAATTAATTAATTAATTAATTAAAGGTTCAAAACAGGCACTCAGGAAAATGTTCCAGTCTTAAGTCCTTTTCAATCATTGGACATGGGAACCTCCACGTGGATATGCATGGGTATTCGTGTCTGTGTGAGTGTGCACACACATGTGAAAGTCTGGGATCAGAAGGAAAGTGGTCTCGTGGGGGCAGTCAGTGATGAATGGGCACCAAGTCCCCAGGCCCAGCAAGACAATGGTGTTTGAAAACAGACAGGACGGTGAGCTGGAGGGGCGAGTTCTGGGAGGAAATAGAATGCTGTCCACGAAGAAGGGAGAGACCAAAGACACACCATGAGGAGACAACAGCCCAGGGCCTAGTGACCCATGGCATTTAGAGAGGAGTGAGCAGAGCACACAGGAGCGTGTGGTGCAGAATGCCCTGGACAGCCTGAACTGCTCCACCCTGACAGTCTGGGAGCTCTGCCTGCCCCTCTCCAGAGGGAACAGCCCTACCCTGGAAGGGGCTGTGGGTCTGAGCCTCTGTCCCAAGGCTGGGTAAAGACTGAATTGAGTCAAGTTGAACAAAGAGTGAAGTTTGCCCCTTGCCCCCTCCTTGCTCTGCCACCACCTGGCTGTGTAACCATGGATGAGTTACTTAACCTCTCTGAGCTGCAGCTTCCTCATCTGTGCAAGGGATGCTTCTTTGGGCCTCTCTCTCTCCTTCCAGCTTCTAATGCCCTTATAGTCTCTACCTTGAGAGACTTGGGTCCTCCAGACCCGCTTACTCTCCCTGCTGCTCTCAGACACCCTCCTGCTCTCCTAAGCTTGGCCAGGAGAGGGACTTTCTTCCTAAAATCAAAGAGAGCCTGCGGTGCTTGAGCAGCCCTCTCCATCTGTCAGAACAGCCTCATGTCCACTGAGCTTGGTGGGATTGAGGATACAGTCTCCCGCTGGAGACACCATTCCTCCAAGTGGCAAAGCAGAACTCCCATCACCTTACTCTAACAACTCTTCCTTCCCCGCCTTCCTATGTGTTCTCCAGCTTCAAGTGAATTCACTCCACCTGTGCACGTATGTGTGGAGGGAGGAGACATTTTTAAAAGATCAAGGAAGGATGGTGCTTGCCACAGGAAAAGGAACAGTTAACAGACAGGCCAGCCAGGCTAAAGGTCATCCTGATGGTGGGGGAGTGGGTTGGGGCAGGGACATCTGCTCTGTGCCAGGAGCCAGGAATGGGAATACAGAGCTGGAAAAAGACAAGGTCCCTGCAAGGGAGATAGACGCATAGGCAGACTGTGCTGGAACAGGGCACCACCCTCCCAGTCCTACCTGTCCAGCAGGGCCTTGTAGCTGAGTACACCAGAGATGAGGCTGGCTGCAAACCTGCAGGGAGAAGGGAGGCCTGAGCCCTTCCTCCCAGGGCCTGGCTTCCTCCCTCCCTCCCTCCCTTCTGCCTCCCCTCCCTCCTTCCCTCTTCCTTCCATCTCCTTCCTCTTCCCTCCCTTCTCCCTCCCTCCTCCCTCCCTCATCCCCACTGCCAAACTCTGTGATCGCCCATTGTATGCCGCCCCCGTGTGCACTAATCAGATGTGGTTCCTGCACTAATCAGATGTGGTTCTTGCCCCCCAGCCCCATGCCGAGAGCCCACCACAAGCCTTGGATTCAAAATGGTCCTTTGGTGAGAACTGGGGGTCGAGTAGCTCTTGGGGAAGGGAGAGGAAACTGGAATCATCTTGAAGAGGAGAGGGAGCAGAGAGGGAGACGGAAGCTAGGAGAGGCCACAGAGCAGGCCAGAAGGGGTGGAGGGTGAAGGGTGGAGTTCTTCCTTGGAAAAGCCAGCCCTGGGTCTGGACAGGGCAGGACCCCTGGCCTTGTGGAAAATTTTCTCCTGGGAAAAGCCAGTAATTTGGTCCCTTTCCTCCCACCCCCCGGTACTAATGAAAAGGAAATCGAGTGCTTGGGGAAAGGCACTGGAGAAACGAGCAGCGGGAACTGTCATACCAGGATTCTGGGCCTGGCTTAATTGCACCAGGAGGAAAATACCCCCTCAGATGCAATTGTGAGAACTGTTTTCAGAAGTCATTCATCTGTCCACACCTTCCTTCTTCCCTGGGGAGACCCCAGCTACAGTGGGAGGGAAGGCTGGCCAGCTGGTAGGGTGGGGTGGGGAGGTCTTCCTAGCATGGCTAAGCCCTGCCCAGAGGAGAGGTGGGCCCTGCCTCTTGTCCTCGGGCCACTTTGGTCTGCCCTCCCTCTAAACCGTCCCCACCATTTGCCCCACTCAGGTCTTAAGACCAGACTCTGAGTGACTCCAGAAGGGAAACCCTTTCTCCCTGCACCCATCCTCCATTGTCATTAGCGGCCAGAGGCCCTTCCAACGGCTCAGTGAGCTCTGAAATTACAGCAGATGGCACAGGCTCTGGCTGCTGGCAGGGAGGAATTGTTTCCAGCCTTCTGGGGCCTCTGTTTAGAGCTGGGGGCTCTGGAAGGAAGCAGAGGCCCTCTCAGACAGCCTGGGGCAGTGTTTCCCAGGGACAAGTACTGGCGTGGTCCAGGGACACACGCCTCCTCCCAGGGCCTCAGCCAGGTGGAGGCTGTGGGGATATTTGGACCCATGACCTCCATGAGTGTCCATTCCACTGCAAGATAAATATAGACTAAGGCTAATTGTGTGATTGTCACTCGAGTGCAGCCACACCTAACCTTGCTCCCCACCTGATGGCCTGGACGTCCACTGTCTCGGGGCATTTGACCCCAGGAAGCTCAGCCGAGGCTCCAGCTTTGGCCTTTCTTTGCTGGCACTGGGGTAAGGGCCCCTGCCTTGGGTGGGTCCCCAGGTTATGAGCTAGGAGCACCAAGGCCTCACCTCAGCTGGTCATCGGTGCCAGGGAAGTGCTGCCGAGCAAAGATCACGGCAGGGCTGGAGTTGACAGGCAGGGCCAGGCGGTTGTTGAGATACATGTCATTCAGCCAGTACTCAGACACCTGCCGGGGAGGGCAGGGAAGGCCGTCACATCCCCCCAAACAGTCCCATCCTGACAGCCCCGAGAGAAAATCGGGACACTTCACCAGAGCATTAATTCATTCATTCCACAAATATATGCTAAGCCCCAGGTATGTGCCAGGAGCTTCCCAGTCCACCAGGCCTGTCCTTCACCTTTGTGCCCTCCTGTCTCCTTTCTTCTGTCCCAGTCCCCATCCTGGTGGCTTGGTGCTACATCGCTGTCCTCTGCCTGTCCTTACAGGTGTCTTCTTCCTGCCTTTCACCCTCTCTTCTTTCCTAATGCGATCTCTGTCCTCATCTGTCCCAATTCCTGTCCCCGATTTGTCCGCCTCTTTCTCTATCCGTATTTCCCATTCCTCATCTTGTTTGTTTCTCATCCTTGTCCCTTCCTGTCCTCCAATCCATGCCACCTGCCTGTTCCCACACCTATCCCCCATCCCTGTCCCTCATCTCTCCTTCTGCCCTGTCTTTGTCCCCTACCTGCCTCTCACCGAGATCCCTCTGTCTCCAGGTCTGCCTCCCGCCCCTCTTCTATGGGTTCCTTGTCTGCCCCTCTTACCCAGTTGGCTGTCTTCTCCTGCCGCTCCAGGAGTTTCTGCTGCAGGGTCTCGCCGAGGCCACCAGGGGCCCCAAACTGCTGCACAATGGCCTGGCTCTTCCTGAACTGCTCCTCAGACACCAAGTGTCGCATGCACTGCAGGTACGTGGCCAGGGTCTGCTGCAGCGGGGGCACGGGCAGTTTGGGCAGCCCCTGGAAGAAAGGGTTCATAGGCATTGTGCCTCTAGTATGTGCGCCCCATGCCTGTCCCCAAGTTGGTCCCTAGTATCTGTATTGTTCTGCCCCTGTGTTGTTCTCTACCCTGGGACCCCTCCATTTCTAGGGCTCAGCTCAGCAAAATTATGAATTTAGGAAGTTCCTGTTTGGCGTCCCTGACCTCATTGTGCTCTGTCCCCAGAAAGGGATAAAGTGCAGAGGAAAATACGGTGATATTGGCATCAGACAGACCTGGGTTTCTACCCTGACCCTGCCACTGACCAGCTCTGCAAACTTGGGCAAATCAGCCTCCCTCTGTGCCTCAGTTTCTTCCTCTGTAGAATGGGAGTAGTAACCCCTATCTCTCATAGGATCAAACAGAAAATAGATATGAAAGTGCTTTTAAGCCATAAAGGATGGATCTAAGATGAAATAGTCCTGTTATTGATATTGTTGGCTGCTGGTGACTCTTAATTTAGAGATTGTTCCCAGCTGGGGCTCCAGAATCTGATTGATCTCTGGACCTGAAGGGGGCACTCTTAGGGAGAGATTTGGAAGGATAAAAGATGGTTTTGGATGAGAGACATAATTCAGTGCTGCCCTAATGACTAGAATTCTAAAAGAGGGTTCCTCAGAAGATGATTCATGCCCTGAGCTTCTTATAAGTCCCTCCTACTTATAAAACCCAGGCAGGGAATTTTGTTTCATGTGGGTGTTAGGGGCAGGGGTGGGGATGCAGTGGATGTCCTTCCTCTCCGAATCTCTCCAAGCCTCTGCTCCTCATCCATAGGACATAAATAACAATTCCTACCTGAGAGGAACACAGAGAGAATTAAATGGGGGAACAACTGGCCTCAAATAGGCACATCTAAAATGTTATGACCTCGCTATCTTATACTTCCAGAGGAATTCCCAAGAGGAAACCCATATTCTTTGGGGGCCCCAAAGTGTGGCTAGAGTCTAGGAAGAACCCCCAACTCCACCCTTCTATACGCATGCTGTGCCTCTCAGTTCACCAGCAGCGTTCACCACAGAAGGCTTCTGTGTGGCTTCAATTTTGTGACTTCCCATTTATGAATGAGGAAACTGAGTCCCAGAGAGTGGAGCAGCTGGTCCAAGGTCACATACAAATCTGATGGCAGACTAGGAGCTAAAATCAGTCTTCCATGTCCACTCTGCTTCTTTCTCCTGGGTCGTTCTCTCCCTTCCCTTTCACTCCCTTTTCCATTCGTTTCCTCTTCTTGTCCCTCACTTGGCCAGTGACAATAGGAAGGCAGAACTTATAATAATATTGCTTAAATTGTACAGTTTCTTCTCCTGTAAAATGGGGGTAGCAAACCCTGCCTTTCATAGGATTAAAGAGCTAATGTACGTGAAAGTGCTTTTAAGCCATAAAGGATAGATCTAAGATGAAATAGTCCTGTTATTGATATTGTTGTCTCCTGGTCAGTCTTAATTTATAAACTGTTCTCAGCTGGGGCTCCAGAATCTAGCTGATCTCCGGACCTGAAGGGTGTACTCTTGTGGAGAGATTTGGAAGGATAAAAGATGGCTTTGGATAAGAGACATAATTCATTGCTGCCCTAATGACCAGAATTCTGCAATATGGTTCCTGGGACACACTGGTAGACAGTGAGGCACCTTCCTTCAGGGGCTTCTTTGTGCAGTGATGAGTTTCCATGAGACAGTAAAGGGTTCCTCCCCATAGGCTGCAGAGTGAATGGGCCCCTTAAAAGCACCTCCTTCTCTGCCCCTGCTGCTGATGGATGAATGACGGCCCTCTGCCTGTCTGATCCTGCCTCTAGGGTTCACTTCTCTGGCAACAGTGGGGTGTCAGTGCCAACTACGGGCTGCTCCTGCCCTGGGGAATGATGCGAGGATGGATCTGGACAGCATCCCAGACTGCCCTGCCCAACCCCAGTGAGCCAGGTCTGGGCCCCCAACCCAGCTGATCTTGTTCTTCCATCTCTTGCGGTGGGGGGGGTGGTCTGTGTGATGGGTGGGTGAGCACCTACAGAAAGCCCAGCCCAGTTAGTGACCTGGCCAAAAGGGCCCACAAGTCTGGCTAGATCCTCTGCCAGACACTGCTCCCCTTCTTCCAGGCTCTGACAGTGCGCTGTGACTTAGCCTGGCTAACAGGGAATCAGCAGTGGGTAAAAAGGAATAAAGCAGGAAATCGCAGCTCAGACATCTCAACCCCCCAGGGATCCTCCCCAGACTCTCCTGGACTTCTGGCCCTGTGCTAAGGAGTGTCTTTGGACCTGGGAGTCTCAGATCAATGCTCCAAAACTCCATGTTTCCTGGGCAGTTCATGTGAGTCAGATCCTGGGCTGGACTCAGAGACGATGGAGAAACAGAGCCTGCTCTGAAGGAAGCCACAGCCCAATGGGGTGGGTAGAGAAGCATGCCAGTGGACCAGAGGTGACAATAGATGTTTGTCAGCTGCAGAATTCAGGGCAATGGAGTGAACAGCTTCTTGGGGAGAAGCCAGAAAATTCTGCTCAGGGTTTCAAATGAGGGCTGGGGGAAAGGGGAAGGGGGAAGGGGGAAGAGGAGTGGCAAAAAGACAAGTGTGGGAGAGGGGAAACACATGCAACCACCTGAAGTCAGGTGTGTTGCTCTGCCACCCGAAGGCTGGCTGGGGCGGGAGGGAGGATGCCTGCCCAGGGAGGATGGCATTGTCTCAGGCCAGTGGAGAACATGGTGCCTAAGGCTCCAAGGCTGAACTAGTGATAGCAGCTGGAGCTGGGACTTGCAGGGCTTGGAGTAGGAATTCAGCCCCACCCTAAGGCAAAATCACTGGGCTCAAAGCTATCAGAAGTGGAAGCTGGGATGAAGAGAGGCCCTGGAAGGAAAGATAGGGCCTAGCCTGGCCAGGGGATTTGGAAGTTAAGCTCTTAGCATTTCCTTGGCACCCTGAGGCCCGTCTCAGCCCCTCCAGGCCCTTCTGGGATCCTCAGCAAGCTGGGGGTGGAGCTGTAGCCTGGGCCTTGTGCCAGTAGAGGGCAGGGCTGGGGCCAGGCAAATGCTGGGGGCCAGTCCCACTCAGGACTGTTCTAGAAGCAAGGGCATGTAGGTGGGGAAAGCAGGGTTGAGAGAGGGCTCCAAAAGTCACTCACAGACTCCTCACTGCTGGGAGTTTTTGCTGCCATCTTACGGGGGACCTTTTCCAGGATGGGCGTCTTGGTGAGTCCTGGTGCAGGGATGCAGAGGTGTGGACCTGGGGACCAAGAAGTGGGAAGCATCAACACAGCAGCCACATAGGCCTGTCACAAACCCTCCACCTCCCGCCAACAGACCCCCACCCCAGCCCCATGAGGAGGCCAGAGCCTGACAGCTGTGTATAGGGGTCTCATTGCAGGCGTGGCCCCAGTCTCTACTTCCACCTGTACGTGCTGACCACAGTGTTCTCTCTGGGCCCCCATATGGGAGAGAGTGGTTCCTAAAGTGAGGGTCTGCTCTCATGAGTCTGTTGTCACCCAAGGCCAGCTGACCACCCTGGGGCAATCCAAATCCACCAGGGGTTGCTGGCAGAGTGCTGCCTTTGTTCCTGCCTGGAACCCAATAGATAAGTGCTTTGCCAATCAAACTCTCTCTTTCCCACTAGCTTCTCAAGGGTAAGACCATACCTACTGTGCTCAGTGCTTCATCTCTGCATTCCGGCCACATCTCTGGTGTGGAGTAGGGTGAATTCCCTCACTCCGTTGGTGGAGGGAAAGGAATGCATGCGTGGGTGAATGGAGGCCTTTAAGGCCCTGTGCTCCAGGATGCATCTGGGCTAATTGGGAGCCTGGCCTGTGGCCAGGGCAGGGAGACTCTGGGCCTGCTGGAGGCGTTGTGACCTAGGCAGTCTCGGGTCTGCAGGCTGCCAGTGTAGATGCCATAGGAGTGCCCAGGGAGGTATGCAGGGAGGCTGGGCAGCCAGGGCCCCTAGGGGCCACCTGCCTTAGTCTGGGGAGAGGCAGATTAATTTTGAAGGTACAGTAGAAGTGAGCCAGGCCAAGAGGGCAAAGACTGTTATTATTAGGCTGTGGGTCACAATTGCTACCCTCTGAGATCCCCCTGAACCTAAGCCTCCACAGGCACATACTCATGTTTTCCACCAGCCCACCCTCTATTCTCTCAAGTCTAAAGCTGAGGTTTAGCTAATTTCCTCACCCCTCTCCCCACCCAACACCACCCCTACCCAGAGGCAAGCACCGCCCATGTATGGGCACCTGGCAGGGTTGTTGCCAGGAACAGAGAGTCCAGAAAGATGGATGAACCAGGCCCAAGGATGGAGGAGCCTGGGGCTGCCTTGCAGTGCTGGGCAGAGAATGTAAAGCCCTTGCTGGCACAGTGCAGGGACACTCTCCACAGGCTTGTTCCCACGCCTCCCAGTGCTGTGGGTTCGTAGGGGCTGCCCCCAACTGCAAAGTGAAAGAGGTGGCGTCCTGGTGAGGATTCACCGGAGCATGGCAGTCTTTTGAGAGGACAGCAAGGACAAGGTCAGGTTGGTAAAGGCCCTACAGACCATGCAGCCAATGCCTCCTTTTGCTCTGGCCCAGAGCCCCCCCCTCCCCCCCATTCGGGAGACACTAGTCAGGCTTCAGGGACCCTGAGCTTGAAGAAGGCAGAGCTGGGTGGGATGGTTTCCTGGTGGTCCCACCTACCAACTCTTCTTCCTCCATCACTCCTGGGCAGATGCCTAGAGGATGTATGTGTATATATGTCTGTTTGTGTTTTGTGCCTCCCACCCATGCTCCTGCCAGCCTGGCTTTCCAAGGGCTGCCTGCTCTGCCCCGAAGGTCCAACCCCAGTCTGGCCGGTCATTCACAGGCTGTCATCGGCTATGTCCTGGCTCAGACTTGCCACCAGCCACTGCTCCTCCTTCCCCACCCCCTGCTCCCGGGAGAAGCGGTTGCCAACCAGCAATTCAGGCGAGTCGGGTCAGACCCAAGGACCCTCCGACTAGACACAGAAAGCGCGGACCTGGTCACTTAGCAGATGCTGGGCCAAGTGAAGTGAGAACATGCGCTTGGAGTCCCGAAGCCCTGATGGTTAAGCCTCCCCAAGCCCAGGCACCGAAGCAACGCAATCCTGCAGCTTCCTAGCTGACCCCCGACGGCCGCTGCTGCGCAGGACTCAGAGGACTCCACGAGTCCTGGGGCCTCTCGGCCCCGGTGCTGTCCCTGGATAGAGCCCCCGACCGCCGCCCTTGCTCCCGGCACCGCGCTCCGCCAGCCCAGCCCAGCCCTTCTTCTCACCTGCTCTCCTCGGCTCTGCTGCCTCGGCCGACGCTGCACCGCACCACTCAGGAGTGTGGGCGGGGGTGTGAGCCGGAAGGGGTGGGGGGCGTGTCGCAGCGCGGGGGTGGGGGCTGCAGCCTGGGTTCCCGGCAGGGCCTCCGACGTCGCCCGGGTCCCCGCGGCCACCCGACTGGAGAAAGCAAGCTGGCCGCACTTCTCTCCTTCCTCTTGTACCTCCTCCCTCCTCTCTCTTCCATTTCCCCCCTCCCCCAAGCCCCCTCTTCTTCGCTGTCCTCAGCCCCATCCCTTCCCCAGCTCCCCGCCCAGGGATCTCAGCTCCCGGCCCCCAGAATCTACCCGGAGCGCTTCCCGGAGGAACTCGGGCAACAAATTTAGGCTCTAGAAGGGGGCACAGAACACTGTCCCGCCCATGCCTCCTGCCCCTAGCTCAGCATTTCCCAGTCACCGCACTTCCCCAACCCCATTATTCCAGCCTTGGGGTGCTGCTGCTGAATCCTGGAGAGGGTTGGGTCTGAGGAAGTCTCTGCTCGCTGCCCTCCTCTCCCCACCATCCAGGCCAGTCTCAAACCCTGCTACACCATCTTTCAAAATAATAATAAGAAACAATAACTGGGATCAATATTCACTGCAGGACTTCCCTTTCTGTTACCATCCCATTCCTGCTGGCACTATGGGGTGGGGAGCAGAGGTGGGGTGCTACAGACTTGGGACAATCCTGATGGCAGACCTGAGGATGCTTAAGGACTGCGGCAAGAGGCAGGCTCTCCTCTCAGACAAAAGCATCCCCCACCCCAGATAGAGACCCCCACACAGAAATAGCACAGACAGACCGACAAAGGCAGACTCCGCCCAGGCACACACAGCCCGACTCGCAGATCGAGGACAGACATGCGCACAACAGCAGAGCAGACCCTCACAGGCGCAGCTAACACACAGGCGACCCTGACCAGCCGCCTCTTCACGCTATGATGGGAAGACTCTGCCTCGATCATCAGACTACGGTCTTCGGGACATGGAGTGTTGCGCGAACGCTGGCTTGAGGCTCTCAGGGCTGGGACTAAGGATGGGAAACTTTCCTGACAGTCCTGGGCCGCTGCTCCCACTCAGGACAGGGTGGCAGTGGGGGTTGGCACCAGATCCCACACTCGCATCTCTCCCTTCAAGACTCAGACCCTCGGGACTGACAGGGATACAGCAAACACCAACCACGGCTCCCCCACTCCTCCTAGGACAAGTTCTCTAATGAACACACACATCACATCATACACACATTTCCAGAGGTCGGACTCTAAAAGATGGGCCGTTTTTCTTCCTCTGCCGGAATGCTCGGCTCCTACTCCTTTCTCAAAGCCTCAACGGGGCGGGATTCTGGTCTGAAGGGAAGCTCAGCCCAGGCACCTCAGAGCTCTGAGGCTGGTGTGGGGCGTGTCCTCAAAGGGCGGGGCCTGGCGTGCCTAGCTGGAGCGGGTCCTCAGGCTCCCCCGGGCGGCATCCCCGGGCTCTGCGCTAGGCCTGGAAAAGAGGGTCTATCCTGGGCTGAGGGGAGCATGGTGCTCCTTGGTGACCGTGGGTGACAGCCTTTGTTGGGTTTGCTTCCTTCCTATCCCCTTTTCCAGGTAGAAAAACAGCTACAGGTGCCTACGTGTTAGTTTGGCTTAGGTCTGGATTGGGACTTGGAGACCCAGTTCACCCTCCCCTCTGCTCTGGCCCTGCGCGCCTCCACGCACCCCCCACCAGTAAAGAGACTCGGCCTCCTGGGACAGACACAGTTTATTGATTTGGGCGGAGGCGCCGCGGTGCAGCGGCCCAAGTTTGGCACTGGGAGCAATGGAAGGAAGGACAGACAGATGCAGGCTCTACACAGGGGAGCCGCAGGTGGGGACTCAGGGTCCTCTTCACCTCCGCAAGGAGCGCGATGGCTTCGCTGGCCTCGGTGCTCCAAGCCCCATTGGACAAGAGAGAAAGGGATATGGAACGGGTCACAGGGAGGGGATTTGGGCAGAAGTCAAGGTTGAGGAGTGGCTGGGGTACTCGCTGGAGGAGGTGGGCCCTGAGCCAGAGCTGGCCAGTGGGCTTGCAGAGCAGCCCCCTTGACCCAAGGCGGTTGGGTGGGCTGGAGGAGGAGTGGGGATGCTAGCTGCGGGTGTAGTAGTAGTTGTAGTCGTCCTCGCACGCATCAAAAGGGCCAGGCGGGCTGCGAGGCTCGCCGTCCTGGCCAGACACAGGACGCTCACGCAGGCGCACCGCATCGTACAGACCTTGCGGTGGCTCATCAAGCAGCACATCGCGCTCGGAACGGGAGCGCGTCAGGAGGCCCACGTTGCGGAGCAGCAGCAAGACGGGAGCATAGAGCAGGTTGGCCAGTCCCATGCCAAGGCTGAGCTGCTCAAAGCCCAGCGAGTGCACAATGTGGCCTGCCACTATGGGCCCGAGCGCGTAGGCCACCGAATAGGAGATGTCGGCGATGGCGTAGACGCTGCCATAGACTGAGACATGGCGCACGTCCACCAGGAAGGCGAGCGTGGGCAGCAGTGCTGTGTCGACTAGGGCTATGCCAAAACAGAGGCCGCATAGTGAGACCACTAGCGGCGCGAAGGAGCGGCAGGCGGGCACGATGCACGAGCTGGCGCCGATCACAGCCAGCCCAAGCGCGCCGTACAGCCACTGCAGGTGTGGGTAGCGCGCCGCCAGGCGCACGGTGAGGTAGACGCCCAGCACATGAGGCACGAAGGCCGGCAGCCAGGCCATGCCCATCTCCCACTCGGAAGCCGCCATCGTATGCTTCATCCACGTGGCAATGGTGGGTTCGAGGAAGGCGAGGGGAATGTTACAGGTGGTGAGCGCGCCGGCCACCACGGCAATGTAGGGGTCTAGCATGAGGCGGTGGATGGGAGTGCCCACTGGCAGGTTGGCCCGAGCCCGTGCAGCCGCCGAGAAGGGTTTGGCCACTGCCAGCAGCAACAGCGCGTCAAAGAGCGACACGGCAGCTAGCACCAAGAAGGGCACGCGCTTGCCGGCGAACTCATAGAGGATGCCCCCGAAGGGCGGGGCCACTAGGCTTCCGAAGCTAATGAAGGCCAGCGCCACGCCCAGTGCACGACTGCGCTCCGGCTCCTCCGGGTACTTATCGGCGATCATGGCTATGCCAGACGTGTCGGCGAAGGCTGAGCCCAGGCCCTGCAGGCTGCGCGCCGCGAACAGCGTGGCGTAGTCCTCGGCGAAGGCGAACAGGACTGTAGAGGCGAACATGACGCCCAGGCCGATCAGCAGCGGCACGTCGTAGCTCATGCGGTCGATGAAGGGCCCGCTCAAGGGGTTCACTAGCAGCTGCAGGATAGCCTTGGAAGCAAACAGCACCCCGATCTTCACGTCTTCGCTCTCCGTAGGGTAGCGGGGCCGAAGGGCTGAGCCCGCTGGCCACGCAGCTGTCGGGGACGCCGAGGTGTTGGCCGTGTAGGCGCTGGCATTGGCCGGAGTGGGCAGCGGCAGGGTGGGCTCCCACACCTCGGGAGTCCGGGTGGGGCCCTCGCCGCCCCCGCGCATGTGGGCGATGTAGTCGGGCACTATGGGCACGATGACCATGTACAGCATGTTGTCCAGTAACAGCGCCACGCACACGATAACAAGCACCAGGCGCCTCTGCCGCCGGGGCTCCTGCAGCGCCGCGCCCACAGCCTCCGACAGCTTGGTGGCCGCCGCCCGGGCCTGGCCCGCAGGTTCCGCGGATTCCATGCCCCCACCCCGATGCTCTTCCGAGGACGCCTCCGCCAGGGCCGAGCGCTGGCGTCCCGCAGTGCAGAGGCGAGGGCACGGGACTTCGGGGAGGCTGTCCTGGCCGAGCAGACTCCCCTGTGCCTCAGGTGGCCGCGGAGCTCATGGCCCAGCGTCCCGGGAAAGGAAAGGACTCCGTCCGGCGAGGCGTTGCAGCTACTCTTAGCCGATCCCGGGACCCGCGGCTGCTGGGCTCAGGGGCGGCCGGGAAGTCGGGCGCGCCGAGGGGCCGGGGCCGGAGACTGGGCGCACTTCGCCCGGGGCGCGCCCAGAGCAGCCCCCGCCGCGCTAAGAGGCCGCCCGCGCTGGCCGAGGGACATGCTGTTGCCGCCCGCCCGCTTGCCCGCCCGTTAGCCCCGCCGCTGCGCTCCCCTCCCCTCGCGTCGGCTCTTGCCTCCTCCGCCGCCTCCTCTTTTTTTTTCCCTTCCACTCGGGGCTGTGACGCGGCGAGTCCCAGCCCCCGAGTGGTGCCCGGGCCACTTACGTCGCTCATGCTAATGCGACGTCGGCGGGGCGGGGGCCGGGGGCGGGGCGTGGCCGGGCAGGGGTCCGCTCTCCAGATGCTCCAGGGCTGGAGGCCCAGGAAGGGCTCTCGGTGTGGAAGTCTTGAACCAGCCCCTGGGATGGGCGTTCCGCGCCGGTAGCTGGCCCTCTGCCCCCCGCCCCCTGCCTGCCCCCCGCCCGCGGTTCTAGGACTCGCGGGGTCAGCGCCCGCTCTTCTCCTCTTGGGGAAGGGGGCGCGGCAGCCGGTTCCTCGAGGCCCCTTGGGAGAGGCGGGAGCCAGAGGCTTGCGATCTCCGCTTCAGCCTGGACCTCGGCGCACAGCGAGCAGGAAGCCCCCGAGGTGAGCCGCCGCTGCGTCCATCTGTTCTCGCAGCTGGATTGTGGAGCCGCGTCCGGAGGAGCGCTGGACACGGACACCCCCAACCCTTTCTCCGACTCCGCCCCCTGGCCCCTTGCACACACACTCCCGCCAGGAGGGGAGGGGAAGGCTCAGCAACTGCCTGGCCTGGCTCTGACCCACCGGCCCCTCCGCAGAATTTCTCGGCCGCGAATCGCGGCCGGGAGCTTGTGGGGACTGAGGGCAGAAGTTGCCGCGCCCCAGTCGGGGTCGCGAATATTAGCCTGGCCGCTGCCGCCCTCCCGCACTGCCTGGCCACATTCCCCTTGCCTGGAATCCCCCTTTCTCCTTTAGCGGTCTGGTCCCCCAGCTCCGCCTCTTCTCTCCCCGCCGCCGCACCCCCTCCCCACTCTAACTCCTCCCAGGCACTCTTCGCACCCGACCAAGCCCTCCCTCGGCTCCTGCCAGCCTCCGCCCCCTGTTCTGCACACTCCCCCATCCCTCATTTTCCAGAGCCTCCTCCAAGCCCCGGGTGGGCTCTGGAGTGACTGTGGCTGGGGTCCTCTCTTGGAACTGTAAGAAACCCTTCTTGGGTGCCGCGCCCACTCCCCGGAGAGCGCCCAGCCGCTTCGCTGTCGTCAGGGGCTCCAGGGAGACTCACCTTCCTTCTGAGAGGGCCGCACCCCTTGAGGCGCCCGTGCTCAGCTGACAGGCTGAGCTGCCCAGGCTGTGCGCTGGGCCTGACGCGTCCCCAGAGCGGCGTTGACCCTGGATGGCACATGGAACCCGTGTTCCAGTGGGCGGACTGGCGGGAGAGAGGCTCCAGGGCGGCTGAGGTTGGAGGTGGGGATTGTGTTGTTGAGATTACGGTTTGCGTCTCTCTTCCAGAGTCAGAGGGGAGCCTTCCCATTTTTCTGGCCTCAAAAGTAAAGCAGCATTAGACGCAGATGCTTCTCCCATTGTGCCCCCCACCCCGCAGGAAGTGCCGCGATGCAGTGCAAAGAGTGTGGTCTTTCGAGGCAGACAACCAGGATGGCTCCCAGCTCTGCCACGTACTCATTAGAGTACCTGCAGGGAATTACTTTGCCTCTCTGTCCCTCAGTTAGTTTCTTTGTAAAATTGAATAATAATAGTACCTACTGCTAAGGGGGCCGGGCACACAGTAAGAGCAGTATAAGGACTTGCTATGTTGTTATCGTGTGTAGAATGTGCGGTTTATCCTCATTTTTCACTTGTGGGTCTTGTGAAGAACAGATGAAAGACACAGGGGGCACTTGGCTAGCTGGCTGATCCCTCTGGCTAGGTGGGCATTGTGACTCCAGGCTCTGTCTGGGTTGGTGGAGGACCCGGAGGGCATTGGAATGTCTCCATCTGTCCCTGAGATGGCTGTAGGATGAGGGGATGGGGACCAATGTGTCAGGGTGAGAGGCGGCAGCCTGGCCACCTGTTGCTCAATTCCTTCACCCACCCAGTCACCCTGGGAAAGGAGAAACTCATCCACTGAAGGGCTGCTGCCACCTGCTCTGCAGTGACTGAAGTGCCCTCTGTCTGAGGGAGGAAAAGAGTCCCAATGTGGGCACAGGCCTGGCCCTGGATGACCTTGGGCAAGTCACAGCCCCTCAGTGGGGCCCAGCCTCAGCCTCCGTCTGGTTCAGGTTGAGGTGAGAGCCCACTCACTGCAGCCCTTAGCAGAAGTGCGTGCTGCAGAAGACTCTTTGGAGTGGGCTAATTATTTTAAATTGTATTTGATGGCCTTTCGTCAGTACATGCACACTCTCCAGCACATCCCAATCTCGCCCCAGCTGACTTCACACACTTATGCCACTTGCTGGTTCTCCAGTCATTTCCGTTTGAGACCTCTGGGCTCTTCTGACTCTCCCATTATGAGGCTCTTAAAGGGGCAGTCTCCCAGCCTACAAAACAATTATTATTTATGCACATGCTATTTCCCCTGTCTGATTAAAGAAAGGAGGAAGGAGGACTTGAAGGACAATTTTTTTTTATGTCTAGTGGCTGAAGAACAGAGGAATCATAGAGGACAGGAACTTTCCCAGGGCCTTCAAGGTGCAGACCACATCTCCAGCCCTCTGGCCCACATGGCTGTTCCTGAGCATGAAGCCAGGTATCTCTGGGCTCATGACTAGCTCTCCAGTCCTCGGTTCCTGTATGGCAGGAGGCACACTCATTTATTACTTGCTTTGTGCCAGGAGTATTGTGTGTGCTGTTTTACTCCATTCTCCTGCAATCCTGGTGCAGTGTAGGTGCTATTCCCCTGGTCTTATCAGGTGAGGAAGCTGGGCGTGGAGATGCTGGGTGCTTGCCCAAGCTCCCAGCAGCAGATCCTGGAATTAAACCCAGGCTGGGGGACCTGTCTTGTGGTCCTCACACTGCTTCCCTATTCCCGGCACGGCGTCGTGCTCCTGCTGCTCCATCTCCAAGGTGGCCGCACGCTGGCAGTGTAGGGGTGAGGAGCAGATCAAGACCCATGGGAGGAGGAAGGTCCTGGGCTGGCTCCCTAAGGAGGCTCCAAAGACACTAAACTCCCTCATTCTCTAACTTTCAGATCAGAGGGCAACGCCCCCCCAATCCATCGTGGCTCCAAATACGGGAGTGCCGGGGTTGCAAGGAGGCGTCAGGCCCCTGCAGCAAAAGGCTACGGGAGGGTCTGAGCCGAGATGGGACCTGGCAAAGCCTCTTCTCCCCGCCAGCCGCCGGGAGCTGTCCAGGGTGCTGGCCCCGGCCCCACCGCAACCAAGAAGCCTCCCACGGAGGCCCCGCCCCTCTGGCTTCCTCTTCACTTGAACGCTTGGTAAATTCCTTTCCGGACTCCTCTATCTGAGCATAACTTGCAGGCAACAGAGAACTTCCTGTCCAATCCTGTAGGAGAAAACGGAAGCATTTTTCTCTCCTTTCTCAACCAGAAATAGCAGCTGTTAGGGCAGCGTTCATATCTGGTACTCAATTAAAGTTGAATGAGTAGAGGAAGGAAGGAACGTATTTACTAGACACATAGTAGAGCTTATAAGGCATCAGGCACCGTTCTAAGCATTTGATAAGCACTAACTCATTGAATTCTCTCACCAACCTTCATATTACTTTCTTATAGGCAAAGACACTTAGGTAAAGTAATGTATTCAGTCAGAGAGCTCACAAGTGGTAAAGATGGGATTCCCATGCAGGTGATTTAGTTCCAGCTTCCTGCTCCCAGCCACCATGTGGCCCTGCTGCAGGATGGCTAAAGACTGCGAGATAGCTCACTTGAACATGTCTAGCCCAATGCTTGATACCTAGTAGGAGTTTAATTGTTATTATTTTATATGGATAGAGACAAATTGGTGATTTCTAGCTGACAACACTTCTTCTCATTTTATCCACAAGATACAACTGTGTCCACAGTCTGATGGACTAAAATTTCTTCCTTGCTGGATCAGTGCCCTGTCAGGGGAGGGGGGCTTGCTGGGGATGGGGGAGTCCTGGTGTGTGGGAGTTTGGGAGGGGTGGAAGGATAGCCATGCTGCACCAGTGCCTGGGTGAGGTCTAGGGGGTGTTTGGAGGTCTTGGGTGGGTTGTGGTGGTGGGGTGCTGCTGTGGATGGAGGTGCCAGCCCAGCCTGGCCTCATTTCTGAGAAGGTTGTGGGGCCATGTCATTTCCAGGGCTTTGCCATTTGTTGCTTCCCTGAAACATCTGGTTCCAGAGAGGTGAAACCACTGTATTTCTGTGGAGAAGCAGGCTGGTGTTGGTGATGGCAGTGTGTGGGTGGGGCACCTGCTCCTGATTTATTATTTCTTTGTCTCTCTGGAAGCACTTAAGCACAGGCTTCGTTCCAATCGAGCTCATGAGCCTCTCTGGATTCCAGCACTGGGGGCTAGGGGTGCAGTTTGCTCAGGGCTCCATAACCCATCCCCTGTGCACCGGCTCAGGCGGGCCTCAGCATCATTTAATTAATTTAGGCTTCCCCAGTCATATATTCTCAGATTCAAAGGAACAAAGTGGCCCCAGTCAGCCTTTCCCAGAAACCTGTGAGTGTGGTGGCTGGAAGCCAGAGGACTACGTGCCTGCCTGCCTGCCCTTGGCCAGCCTGTCCTCGGTGCCCAGACTTGCTTTGTGCACAACATAGCTGGGCTTCGAGAGGGAAAGAGACTGCAGGTGCTGCTTTGTGGGTGGGCCCCAGGGCTCCTCTCTACAGCTCCCAGGGACAGGACCTTGCTCACTTGCTTTTTTTCTGGCTCCCTGACACTAACTATGAATCATTCGTTGGAAGCATGGCCTCCAAATCCCTTTGGTTTCTGTTCTCTCCACTTTCTTTCCGTCTCAATCCAATTAATGTCTCAGATTCATTTCCCTCCTCCATTGAGACCACTCCCTGCCTGCCCCCAGCCCAGATCCTACATCTTCCCCCACAGTGGGACAGTTAATCCCTTCACTTGTCCCTTGCCTCCAGACCCTGACAATCCACCCCTGCAGGGATGCCAAGCTTCTTTTCTCTGCAAAGTTTCAGGCAAGCTTCCAGTCTGTTCACAGACCTCTCAGGGACCCCTGCTGCCTGGGACTGGAGTCAGCATCATCTCCCCACATGGTGGCCTTCCTTCCACAATGCCTCCCACCCTTCCCATCTTCATCTTCCCTTACAGGCCCCAGGAGCTCCTCCCTCCACACCTTTCAATCAATGTTGCCTTGGTTCCTGCCCAGTTTTGCCTCTCCTTGGTTGCCATATTCTTCCCTGATTCCCAATACATTGTGAACATGCCCCCATCCAATCAAATTTTCTACTCCTCTTCTGAAATGTATCCCACACAATGTTGGAGGTGTTCCCCTACACCTCAGAGCCCCTTGCAGACAAGATCTGTATTCTGCTTGTTAGGCATTCTGCACAGCACTGGCCATAGCATTTTGCATGAGAACTGATGTGTCAGTGGTTTTTAAAAATCCATCTCTACATTTATTAGAATGAAAATTAATCATGTAATTCATACATATATGCATTCTTTTCATAGAAATCAGAGCACCATGAAAGTTCTGAGTGGTGGTCACCTCTCAGATGCCACCACCCTTACTGCTTTGGTGTGCGTTTTCCAAACCCTTTCTAAATTTGTTTCCATACATACATATGAGCTCATATAAAATTTAACATGAGTGGCATTATACTTAAACAAGTACATATTCACATAAATTTCGTTATATATGTATCATTCTGTATTTCTCTTGTTTTCCACTCAACATTATATCCATTTTAGCCTACGTAGAAATAGTTGGATTTTCTCAGCTGCCGATGCAGAGTATTTCTGGCTATGAACATGCCCCAGTATTTTCAGCTGTCCCCTATGGATGGGCATTGGGTCAGGTCTGATTTCTAGGTGTTACAGTATTGAGATGGATTTCCTTGTGTTTGTGTGGAGGTGCTTCCCCAAGTGATAGAAAAACAATGGAGACTGCTGGGTCAATTCTAGCAGTCTCCACATTTTAAAGTTTAAGTCTCCAAATGGCCCTATAAAGTGGTAGTATAAATGTATCTCCCTTGTCCTCCCACAAACAGCATATAGGAGTATAGATCCTCCTCCACTTATGATGGGACTATGTCCTGATAAACCCACTGGAAGCTGAAAATATTGTTAAGTGGAAAATGCATTTAATACACATAATGTACAGAACATCATAGCTTAGCCTACCCTAAACATGCTCAAAAAGCTTCCATTAGCTAACAATTGGGCAAAATCATCTGGTCACACATCATGGAGTATTGGGTGTTTTCTCTTGTAATTGCATGGCTGACTGGGAGTTGTGGCTCGTGGCCTCTGCCCCAGCATCTTGAGAGTATAGTACAGCATATCACTAGACCGGAAAATATCAAAATTCAAAATCTGAAGTATGGTTACTACTGAATGCATATCACTTTTGCACCACTGCAAAGTTGAAAAATCATGTCATACCACGTGTAAGTGGCAGATGTTTGTACACAATTCCTCATATTCATGCCAATATTTGCTCTTATCTGTCTTTTTCCATTTTATCAATCTGGTGGGAGAAGAATGGTATTTATTATCATTTTAATCATTTAATTGTTTAATTGGCTGAGTACTTTTTTATATGTTTATTGGCCATTTGTATTTTCTCTTTTGAGAATTGCCTGTTACTTGTTTCTCTATTAGTCTTTTTCTCAACATTTTAAAACAGAATGTCTTTGCCCCAAATATTTACATTGTGGATGAAAATTATTGCTACTTCTTCACTAGTAGATTCTATGGCTAATACTTCTTGGGCTGGATGAATTAGAGTGGATGTGAGGTTGCTGCATCAATTAAAACCCTTAAGAGCCTCTTCATCATCAATGGGAGATCCAGATTCTCAACATAAAAGATTGTCTATAATCTGTCCACCTCCATGCTCTCAATGTGATGCCTGGATTTGACTCCTGATTCCATCACCTTCTATCTATCTAACCTTGAACAAATTTACTTTCATGCTCTGGGTCTAGGGTCTGTTATTTAAAAAATCTTACAGAGTTGTCTCTTCTTTGCAAGTTTCTAACTCTGACCTTGTGCAAGTTACTTAACCTCTCCAAACCTTACTTACACATCTATAAAATGGGTGCATTGACAATACCTTGTAGGGTTTGGTATAATGGAATGAGATTACTTGTAAAGTAAGCTGATCCTGTTGTAAATTATACCAGTTCCTGCCTTCCTGGATGACTCCTATTCATCTTTTATGGTCGAATTGAGCTGTGTCCCACCCCTCAACCCCTTTGTGTTATGATCACGCATCCACTACTGTACTCATCACACTGAATGGTGGGGATGTGTTCACATGGCAATTTCCTCGCCCTGAATGCAGCCTTGAGGGTGGGGGCTGAGGTGGCCAGGCTCACTGCCTGGCACAGAACACCCTGAATCAATAACTGTGGAATGGAGGAACAAGCCTGTTTGTCAGTTTTGAAAAGACTTAGGGCTTTCTCATTATGCCAAAGTTCTGCTGAGTTTGGAGTGGATGCAGGGACACTTAGAAGGAAGTTGAAGTATTCTTGACAAATACTCCAGACACACCCTGGGGAGACCAGGAAACAGCTACCCTGGTTGACTAGTCAGGTAGGCAGAAAAGATGTTTAAGGGAAACTGTATTTTACAGTCAGTTGGCTTTGTTGGGAAAACCAAGGAGACAGATGAAGGCTGCAGCCATCTCTCCTGAATTCCGAAGCTTGTCATGATTAGAAAGGTCAGCACTGATCAGCCAGGTCACTTCCCTTTTCATATTGGAAAAGTGTAGGTTTGGTGCAGGGGTCTCCTAGGACACCAGGGCAGAGGGAGGGTGGGGCTGTGTGCAGGGGACTGCCTCGGAAGGATGCCCATGGAGACAAATGCTATGCCTCTGCTCTATATCCCAGTGCCTGGCAAACAGTGGCAGAGGGGGGCTTAGTGAAAATCAATTGGACAAGCTTGTTTAGGAGCCAGTTGTTCTGGGTGGGTAGATAGCAACCATCTACCTTGTGTGCTTTGTTAATGAAGCCATGGGTTCAAGATCATCTATCTTGAGGTAAACAGGCTTCTGCTGAAAGGGGCTCCTGGATGCAGATGGGGGAGACACAGGAGGAAGCCCCATCTAGTGGGAAGGCTGAGCCCTGAGGAGCACGCATACTGTGCTTGCATGGTCACTGCAGGCTGGGTACAGAGAGGAGCAGTGGCGCCTGCAAAGTCCCCCAGTTTCAATGAAGTGTGTCTTCCCAGGCTGTCAGCCACCGCCGTGTCTAGGCAAGTCTGATGTGAGAGAGACAGGTCAGGAGATGTCATGGTGCCAGACACAGCGGAAGGCTTTTACTGTCATTAGCTTTCACTCTCAGAACACCCCTGTGAGGTCAGTCCTCTTCTGGGCCCCATTTTATCAGTTGAAAATTGGCAGCACAGGTGGATGAGTAATGTGCCGAGACACAGGCCATCTGACTCACGCTCATGAGTTCTTCATCCACTTGGCTGTGTGGCTTTGGTGCTTGGAGGTCTGAGGGCTTCCTCTGTGGCCTTCTCTTTCCATAGTCCCTCTGACCTGTGTGCAGGGTCAATGTAGGTGTCCTCCCTTGGGTAAGGGGGACTTTTCAGCCCCAAGTACAGAGGGCTGGGCACCCTTTATCTCTTCTTTCTCTAGACATTCTGACCTGTGTCCTTAAGAGCTCTTGCTGGGGCTATTGCAGTAGCCTGTTGGCAAATCCCCTCACCCGGTGTTGACACCAGCTCCTGATCCCCCAAATTGCTCCCTGAGTCAACCTTTAGAAATGTAGCTCTTCCAGGCCGGGCATGGTGGCTCACACCTATAATCCCAGCACTTTGGGAGGCCGAGGCAGGCGGATCACAAGGTCAGGAGTTCAAGACCAGCCTGGCCAACATGATGAAACCCCATCTCTACTAAAAATACAAAAAATTAGCCAGGCATGGTGGTGCATGCCTCTAATCCCAGCTACTTGGGAGGCTGAGGCAGGAGAATCGCTTGAACCCAGGAGGCAGAGGTTGCAGTGAGTGGAGATCATGCCACTGCACTCCAGCCTGGGCGACAGTGTGAAACTCTGTCTCAAGAAAAAAGAAAAAAAAAAAAAAAAGAAATGTTGCTCTTCCCCATAGTAGGAATTCATTAGATAGTTGTCTAATGGGTCATCCTCCTGCTTTACATTCTCTTTGCCTGGGGTCAAATGTACCAGTGCAGCTTGGCTTTTGAGGCCCTGGGTGTGTGGACCTTGCACTCTCTGCCACACACAAGGGTGCCTGCCCAGGACACATGTGTCCTGCTGTCCTGGTCCCACTGCTGACTGTGTTTCCTTTCCCCCTTTCCCAGCAGAGTGGGGTCCTCAACACAGGCGAGTGCTGGCCCCTGTGCACATGCCTCCACCCCAGTCTTGTCATGAAGGGCTCTTGGCCTGTGTTGAATCCATCTCATATCTCCCAAGCCCAAACAATGGGACCTCAGGCAGAAAAACACCTGGAATGGTTTGCGCCACACATGCATACCAACCTCTCTGAAGTGAGGCATGCTCTTTTATTCATTTTATTTGTTAAATGCAGTTCACAACACACTAATTTGGTTTTATAACCTGCAGCTCCTCACAACACCCTTATCACGTTCATATTATTATTCTCTCCCACTTTATATGTGATGAAACTGACACACAGAGAGATGAAGTAATTTACTGCACCACTAGGAAGTGACAGAACCAGGATCTGAACCCAGGCAGGTGGACCCAGAGCCTGTGTGCCGAGACCCCATGAATGTAGCTTTAATGATTGATCAGGGCTCCAGGGGCTGGGTGACTCATAGCACAAGAGGCCATACTGAGTGGCTTCAGGGGTGGCTTCAAGCTCCTCACCTTTGGGAAGTGGAGGCAGGAAGAAAGAGCTGAAGCATTCACCATCCCCTCCAGTGTCCAGCCTCAGCTGCAGGTGGCTCTGCCCAGAGCCCTCCTCTCACCCCTGCAGGAGCCAGGGGACAGTGGGCTTGTGCTGAGGTGAGGGGTGTTGGGACCCTTACCTCACCTGTGGTTTGTGCTCAGGAATGGGGCTGGGACCTGGAAAGGAAGCTGGTAGAGCCCCAGCAGAGCAGGGAGGGCACCAGAGCAGCATCCAGGAGGAATGGTGGTCACGTGGGCAGTCCTGGGCCACGAACAGCGGGCTGCTTGGCAATGCCGCCCCTATCACTACATGTGATCACGGTCGGACAGTGTGTCACACACATGGTCTGTGACCCTCTCAGATCTGTCATCACCGTGTCCCAGCACCTGGTGCCGTGCCTGACCCATGCAGAAGGAACACACCAAAGGTGGCTTTCTTTGGAGGGTCTCTCAGGAAGCTAAGTGACCAGAGTTCTGATTCTCTCTTGTTGAGATACAGGATGTTAAAACACATCTGAGGGAGCTTGGTAGCCTACACAGTGTCCATGTGGCAAGATGAGGTCTCCATGAGAGAAAAAGTCTGGAATGTTGACTCGAGATCCTGAGAGGACCAGACCCCAAACTCCTAGTGATGTCACAGAAGGGGCCTGGAGAAAAGGCTTACTTCGTGA
Source organism: Homo sapiens (assembly GCF_000001405.40). Taxonomy (NCBI): domain Eukaryota; kingdom Metazoa; phylum Chordata; class Mammalia; order Primates; family Hominidae; genus Homo; species Homo sapiens. Next base: position 49,599,827 of record NC_000010.11, on the reverse strand, counting down.
TGGGAAGAACTGGCTCCTTGTGGTGTGGGCAGGGGTGAGGGACATCCCTGACTGACCCTAACTCTGGCCCACTGGCCATATTGGTCAGGTTCTGCAGGGAAGCCTGACTCATGGCTGTCTGAGTAGGGGAGGGGTGTCCTCTAGATAGGCCTGGAGCTCCAGATGGTGACATGGCAGGGACTTGGATACTTTGTAGCTAGAGATAGGAATTCAGGTGTAGCCTTCAGCTGTGTGCATCCCACAGGTGTGTGGGGGACAGGCGTGGGGGGATGTCTGTGGGGCCGATCAACCAGGCACTCCAACCCAGTTGAAAACATGGTCTGCTTTGAGTGCCAAGAAGAATTACCAGAGCATTGTTTTTCCGGGTAATTAAGATGCTATTAATTAAACTGCATTTAAAGCTAGTTTCAAACTAATTCTTGATGACACACACATGTATCTTTCATAAAGGAGTGTGCTTCTCTCCCCTGGGCTGTGAGGCCCCAGCAAGTTGTGTTTGAGCATCGGTGGGCTCCATGTCCCACCAGGCAGGCACAGAGCAGGCTGTCCATAGTTTGTAAATGACCGAGTGATAAACGGGCAGGAGCCATTCCTCATTTGAACATCTCAGATGCCATCTGGATGCAGACTGCATGACCTGGGACATTCTTCTCATCTGACCCCAGATAAGGAGCAGATTCCAGACTCCCTGCACAGAGATGGATCGGCTCAGAAAGCCTCAGGCTGGGCACAGTGACTCATACCTGATCCCAGCACTTTGGGAGGCTGAAGATGGGAGGATTGCTTTTAGGCCAGGAGTTTGACACCAGCCTGGGCAACAAAGCAAGACCCCATCACTACAAAATCACCCAAGTGTGGCGGCATCTGCCTGTGGTCCCAGCTACTTGGGAGGCTGAGGTGGGAGGACCCCTTAAGCCCAGGAGGTGGAGGCTGCAGTGAGCTATGATCCCACTACTGCACTCCAGCCTAGGTGAGAATGAGACCCTGTCTCAAAGAAAGACTCTGTCCTTTCCCTGGTGGCTGGAAGGAGACCAGCAGGGCCAGGCCTGGCCCTGAGTAGTCTTGTTCAGCCATCTATGGTGAGGGGTGGGACACACTGACCAGGCACGGGGGCCAGGCTGTACCCACATGAGAACTTCCAGACAGGACCTGTTACTCGTGGCAGGAGGGAGAGGCTGGCCCAAGTTGTCCCCTCTCCTATGTCAGACAGGCCCATCTTTAGAGCCCATTAGAAGGGATGTCTGAGAAGCATCTGGCAGAGGGCATTTAGGACAGAAGGGTGAGGACGACGATTTTTTCCTGCATTGGTGGGGACAGATCTAGGCCACACCCCAGGCAGGCAGTTCAGGTCCAGATGGGAGACCAGGTGTGGGGAGGGGGACGTAGGACTGCAGAGCCTTGGGGACTAGAGAGGAAGTGTGCCAGGCCCAGGAAGCCACCTGCCTTCCCATGGCTAATGAAAGGGATCAAGCTGAGGGATCTGATGTTTGGGCTTTTTCGTAAGGATACAGTCCCAGATGCGTAATGACTGGTCCTAAAGGTAGAGGTAGGACCATTTTTATACTTCTTAGTGCAGAAAGCCAAATGTCCTCTAAAAGCATGACGCTGGGCTCCACCTCACCCACTGTGAATGGGGCCTCTTTAAGGTAATCACCTTTACAACACCAACAAGCTAACGTGGGATCCCAGCCAACCTGTTTAGTGATGGCCCTGTGATGGTTGGCAGTGCCGTCCCTCCCTCCCAGGCCCTGCCCTGCCCTGCCCTCACTTCTCCCAGTGTCTCCTCAGCATACCCCACTGTCCACCTCTGGTCCTTTGCCTGGGCCCTTCCTCTGCCTGGAAGGGAACCCATCTGCTGTCTCTTTCCCTCACCTCCCTGCCATCCGTCCTTGTTAATGAAGGCTTCCAGGATGGCCTTGTCTAAAACCGCATACCAGCACTTCTTAGCCCCCTTGGATGCTTTAGTTTTTTCCAGCGTGTCTCCCCATCTGATGTGTGACATTGTTTATGGACTATGTTTACTCTCTGTACCCCCTCCCTGGAATGGATGCCGCATGAGGGTACATGTGGGGAGGGAACAAAGTGGGGGTGGGTGAGGAAACAGCTGGATGTCAGCTGGAAAGAAGAGGGAGTCTGGTCATGCGGGCCTAGCACCTGCTGCTGGCTGGAGTGGGGCAGGGCCTGAGGACCCTGCAGGAGGATGGGAGAAGAGATGGGGACGCTTCCGGTGTCTGACACTCTGCTGGTCTCAGGAAGGGGGGAGAGGAGGGAGAAGCATGCCCAGAGACCCACGCTTTAATGCAGAGGAGGTCTCTGGGTGTTTTCTGCTTCCACTGGAGCTGGGTGACCATCCATTCCATGACATGTAGCCAACCCGGGATACATGGTCACCTCTGATGGGGACCTGGAGGTGGCAGATGCTGGTACTCAGAGGCCCTGGAGGGGCTATTGAATTAACCCAGAGGGAGGGCAGGAAAGGGATGGTGTCCCCAGAGAAAGCCAGGATCCTGGCCAGGTACAGTGGTTCATGCCTGTAATCCCAGCACTTTGGGAGGCTGAGGTGGGCAGATCACTTGAGGTCAGGAGGTTGAGGCTGTGGTGTGCTAGGATCGTGCCATTGCACTCCAGCCACTGCACTCCAGAGACAGACCCTGTCTCTGAAAAACAAAAAGCAACACAACAAAACAAAGAAACACAGAAAAGGAGATCCAGGATCCAGGAAAGCACAGAGGTGGAGGGCACATTTGAGGAAGTGGGGAATAGAGATGGGTGGCTGCCCACAGCAGCAGGAGCAGGAGGGAGTGGGCTGGGCTGGCTGCATGCAACTTTGAGAGGGGAACCTGGACGGCGCTGGAGGGGCACCTACTGTTGTTAGGACCCCACATCTGTAGAACCACAGAAGATGAGGTGCTGAGAAACCTTTTTCTCTGAAATCTTAGACAGCCAGACACTGGGCTGCTTGGAATCCTAAGTGAGAATGGGACCTCCCAGTAGTCTCTGGAGGACCCAAGTCAGGGGCTCACTGTGGCTCAGAGAAACAGCCTCCATTTCCAACCCGGCTGCAGAACTCCAGGTAAGGGACCTCAGACACAATCTGCCACATTGATCTTAACTTTGTAGCTTCCAGGGGCACAGGAGCCAAGGTCCATCTCTCAGCAGAGCCCTTCCCTACAGCCCTGTTTTATGTAAATCTGTCCCTGTGCTCCACCCTTCCCCCATCCTGTAGTCGCCTGTTACTCCTCTTGGGGGATGCCCCATGCTCCCGGGTGTGCACTGTGCAGTCTCTCTCATTGCACCAAGGTAACAAACCTGACTGTGTTGGGCTCTAATGGTGCCTCCCTGGGAGTCCTTATTAGATGTGCTTTGCTCTCCCTGGTTGACAGGAACACCCCACTATGGATGCAGTCTCAAAACCCTTTCACAACTGCCATTGCACTGGTGAAGTCAATACGATGAGTAGCTCCCTTTTACAGATGGAGAAGAGGCTCCTAGATCTCTTGTAAGTGGTGCTGGAGTCAAGCTGCAAAGCCCAGGAGACTCGCAGGTGCCAGCTGCAACAGGCCACAGCAGGAGGGACCTGGGCCTGGGTCCCCTCTGCTACAGTTGAGTAGAACAGAAGTGGCGGGCTGTAGCCAGGGCTTCACACCCACATACATGTTTCCAGCTTCTCTTGAAAAACAAGAAAGTCTGGTGACTCTAGGCCCCATACTAGCCCGGTAACTGCCCCGCTGATCCCTTTAGACCCAGCACACACCCTCCCGTTTCTCACGGGCCCCATCCAGCTACTGCACTGGTTTCTGTGATTCTCCTGCATCCTATAGCCATTTGAGTTTGTAATCTATGCTCCACAATGTTTCTGACAAAATGGGAGGCCCTTTCTGCTCCTAAACTGCGAGGCACAGGAAACTCACTGCTTCCTGAGGGAAGGGAAGGATGTCCATGTACGGGGGCCCTACCATGTGTGACTCGCTGTGCTGGGCATTTACATGCTTGCTCGTTTAGTGAACTGTGAGAAATGTAGGTTTGGCTTCATTTCAAAGATTTGCAAACTGAGGCCTCAATAGCAATGGAGTCTCGGTGACGTTTGGTGACTTGGATGAACCCTGCAGGAAGTGATGGACTGAGACTGGGCCAGATCTGTTCTCCTCCACAGACCATGCTCTGTCAGCTGCTGTATCCAGACTTCTGTTCTAAGGCTTTGGGGGTCATGTCATCATCTCTTCACCTCCCTCCAGGCACCCCAGGTGGAACACCCTCATGGGGTGTGACTGAGGGTATCACTCGGCCTTTTGTGGGAGGAACGAGGACAGAGCTGGTGGAGTAGGAGGGCCCGGTTTGGGTTTTTCCTCTAATTTATCAGCTGGGGACCCATGGAAAGAGAGCTCTGTGGTGCATAACGTTTGACCTCCAGTTCCGGGGCTGGGAGGAGCCAACAGCCAGAAATGCAAACCCCATTCCCCAGGGTAGATTATAGGGTCTCTTCCCAAGAGGAGACACAAGACCAACAGAAAACCAGCAGCTCCAGGGAATCAGTGTGAGAAGCAAGAGGCAGGAAAGGAGGAGACAGGTGGAGACGGCGGCCACAGTGCTCAGGCCAGCAGGACAGCTGGGGCAAGGGTGGCCAGCCTCAGGGCTATTCTTGCAGACACAGGGCTCAGACCACCCCCGTCCCTGTTTCAGACTGGACTCAAGGTTGACTGCAGCAGGCACCTGAGTCTCACAGAGAGCTGCCTGCATTTTGTTTCTTTCAAAAAAAGCAGTTTAGTGGCTAGGCAGAAACTGTTTGGTAAAATAAACACATAATCGACTCCTCGAGTAGCACCTGCTAATGTTGGAGAAAATAGCCCTGTGCTTGGCTGCAGGGTTTAACTGCTCTTGGGGTAAACCTGAGTGTGCACCAGAATCACCTGGAGAGCTTCTCAAAATGCAGATTGCTGGGCCTCATTCCTAGCAGTTACTGATTCAGTGGGTTAGGGATTTGCCTTTCTAACACGTTCGCAGCAGCGTGTTGTTTGTCCTTGCCTGGGATGATTCTACACTTTCCGGTACTAGTGGGAAGACCACACTTCCAGAACCTTGGCTGGGCTGATTCCATCACTGGTGTTTGCTGCCACCATCTGGTCACTCCTGAGAATGATGTGCTCTTTCTCGGGTTTGCCTCAATTTCGTTCATTCATCTGGTTGTTCATTTTAATTTTTATTTCACTGAAAGTATCTTCACTGGGATAAATTACCTTTCTTATAGGTCTCTCAATGAAGATTTGATTTATCCATTGGGCCTTAAAACTTCTTGTCAAATTTTGCCAATGTAACTCCTGCCTCTGCAAGTTTTCTTTATGAACTATTACTTTATCCATGGTTTAGTCAATTAAAAATTTTATCTGTGATTATTTACCTATTGTATTTTGTACTGATTATTTATTTTTTCTTCTTTTTTTTTTTGATATGGAGTCTCACTCTGTTGCCCAGCCTGGAGTACAGTGGCGTGATCTCAGCTTACTGTAGCCTGCTGTAAGCCACTGGGCTAGAGGTTGCTTGTGTGCAGGATGACTGTGGGGCAGCTGACAATACAGCCCCCTGCTCCCTGTTGGTCCTTGGAGATAAGGCAGAGAGCACTGTCACTCGCTGAGTGCCTGGGCCCTCATCTCAGACCGGCTGCTGTCCAGATCCTGGCCATGCCACTCAGAGTGATGTGACTTGGGTGTGGTGGGATAGACACTTGAATGTGGGAAATGCAGGTTGTTCTTTGAGCACCCAGGAAGTAGCAACTCCTCCAGTGTGGGAGAATCAGGGAAGGTTTCCCAAGGAACTATGGCTAAGCCGAATATCCCCAGAAAAGTAGAATAACCCCGCATGTTCTCGAGGGGAGAGTAGAGAACAGCTACAAAGGCAGAGAAGCAATCCCCTAACAGCTGGGCAGTGGTAGGGAGGGTCACCCATACAATATAGTGTAGACTCCCTTTTGGGTCCCCAAATGGATCTAAGAGTAAATCAGAGTTCAGTGGACATGGAGAGGGTAGTGATTTTCCAGGAGGAGGGACAGCCCATATGAAAGGAGTCTGCCGGTTCAAGACCCATGCGGAGTTGAGCAGGGCTGGGTGTGATGATGCAAGGGGTGGAGGGGAGGCTGGGCTGAGCTGAGGCCTGTGCGTCCACCACACCACGCTGGCTCTCGGCCTCAGCTGGAGCTCATCACACTGAGCCATGGAGCGGGGCATTGCACACAGAGGGGCAAGCTTGAAATGAGGTTGAGTTGGCACCTAGGCTGACTGTATTAGAGACTTTAACTTGCTTCTTGTGTTTCTTGAGTCTTTTCCACCTTGCTTGAAATAGCCATAGTGCAGCCATCCCTCCACTGACTCCTTTACCCATTTATCTGTCTGACCATCTGTCCTCCTTCCGTCGATTTCTCTACTGGGTGATGGGAACACAGAGGAAAATGGGCCATGGCCCTTCTGTCCAGATTCCAGACCCAACAGCCTTTCCTCATGTGTCTGGATGTAGAGCCACTCACCCTACTCTGTCTCGTCCATGAAATCCTGTTCACCTTTCAAGGTTCCCCTTTCAATGAATCCCTCCTCTGTGAAGCTCCCCCTGGTGGTGCCAGGCAGAATCAGCACCTCCCTACACTGCTGCCTGGGACACAGTTCCTTGAATGAACGGATAGATGAGCCAGGAGTGGTCACTTCCTGGTTATTTCACTGCATTGATCCATTCATTTGCTGTTGAGTCAAGGAAAGGTGAAAAAAGAAACAAAAAGGGGGTCTTGGCAGCAGCTCTCTCGTTCTGCAACTCAGAGCTGAGACCAGATGCCAGCCTGACAGATGCTCGGAGCATCCCTACCTGCCTCACCCCACCCCAACAGGCTGTGGGAACCTTGAGAGGTGCATAACTCTGGGGAGGCACTGGTCGCGGAGTCTGGAAGACTGGTGCTGTCTGCCCCGCCATGTCTTTCTCTCCAGTGCACATCCTGTCTCCACCCTCTCACATCTGCCTCTACTACCTGTCTTGCATTCTACAGCAATGAGCAGAAATTGTAGCCACTACTCAGGCATGCAGGAAATAGAAATCCTTTTTATTCTAATTCCAACCCCCACTCTGATGAAGTGCAAGAATCCTAATCTTGGCCAACACAGGACCTTCTCTCTTCCCTTATAGCTGAGGCTGGAATTTGGAGAAGAGAGGGCTTCTGCTTCTTGGTATCATTTGTCTGTGCATGTCATGGAGTGGGGAGGGTGGCATCCTTCATCCCTGTTGTGTGACCTCATGACCTCTTAGGGTCTGGCTGGCTACCTTCCTGCCCCTTCTGGGCTGATTTTGGCTCTCAGGAATTCTTCTGTTGAGAGATTGCCTAAGATTCCCTCTGCTTAGACGTCCAATGCAACCCTTCCTTCCTTCCTCCCTCCCTCCCTCCCTCCCTCTCTCCCTCTTTCCCTCTCTCTTTCTTTCTCTCTTTTTTTTCTTTCCTTCCTTCCTTCTTTCCTTTCTTTTTTTTTTTGACAGGGTCTCACTCTGTCACCCAGGCTTGAGTGCAGTGGTGCAATCTTGGCTCACTGCAACTTCTGCCTCCCGAGTTCAAGCAATTCTCATACCTCAGCCTCCCGAGTAACTAGAACTACAGGCGCGCACCACCATGCCTGGCTAATTTTTGTATTTTTAGTAGTGACGCCATTTTGCCATGTTGGCCAGGCTGGTCTCGAACTCCTAACCTCAAGTGATCTGCCTGCCTCGGCCTCCCAAAGTGCTGGGATTACAGGCATGAGCCACGATGCCCAGCCTGATGTGATCATTTCTCTTGAGAACACCCCTGCTACATCTCCAGAGTCTTACCTGGATACAGGCTTAGCTTGCCTCTGCTCAGAGACCCAACACACTTACCTGTATTCTTATGTTTCCCTCAGTCTCAGCCTGCGAGCAACTTGCAGGACCCCCTCTTTGGGATCTGCTCAAATCTACTCTCTCGTTGTTCCCCCCAACTCCTCTTTTTCCTGTTAGCCTTGGTAATGGGGTCCTGATTGATGGGAGGCTGGTGGTGAAGTAAGGAGAGGTGGTGGAATCCTTATTCTTATCCACCATGTTTTTCTTGTCCATGAAATCCTATTCGTCTGTCAAGGATTATCTTTCAGTGAGTCCCTCCCCTGTGAAGCTCCACCTGATGGTGGCAGGCAGAATCTAAGGGCCTTCTTAGGCTTTGAGACTCAAAGCCTGAAAAATGTCCCTTTTTGTAATCTACCTTCTTTTGTGGGGTCATGAGCACCCAGTGGGGAAGGACTGGGTGGGGTGAGGCAGGAACAGTCAGGAATGAATGTTATCCTCCTCACTGCCTCGCAGCAGCCCAACTTCCTAGACCCCACAGGTTCCCATCTGTATCATGCAGTGCCTGCTCAAACCCATGGCTGTTACTATGAGCTTGCACCAACTGGTGCTATTCCACTTCTGGAACTATATGGGACTTCTAGTTCCAGAAGTGGAATAGCACCAGTTGATGCAAAAGTAATAGATATATAATATATATCTTACTTTTCTGTAATATATAATATATATCTTACTTTTCTGTAATATATATAATATATAACAGAATATATATTACAGAAATTAATATATATAATATATATTACAGAAAAAAATGAGAAAGGAATCAAAGAGGTACACTCCAAAAAATAAACTAAACAGAAGAAACATGTAGAAACATGTAAAAACATGCAGTGTAAAACATGCAGAAAAAATGGTAAAATGGCTGAAATAAGTCCTTTCTTATCAGTAATAACTTTAAATGTAAATTTATTAAACTCTCCAATCAAAAGGCAGAGATTGGCAGAATGAATTAAGAAAACAATCCAACTGAAGGCTGTATATGGAAAACTCACTTTAGATCAAAAGACACAAGTGAGTTGAACATGGGAAGATAGAGAAAGATATTCTATGCAAATAATAACCAAAACAAAGCTAGGATGGCTACACTAATATCAGAAAAAAATAGTCTTTAAGTCAAAAATCATTACAAGGGACAAAGAAAGTCATTGTGCATTGATAAAGGGGTCAATTAATCAAGAAGATATAACAATTATAAACATATGCACATTAATCAAGAGAACCCTAAATTAAATGAAGCAGACATTAACAGAATTAAAAAGCAAAATATTTCCATAATAATAGCTGGAGACTTCGAATACTTACTTTAAATAATGAATAGAAAACTATAATTAAATAGAGGACTTCAGCAACACTAAAGATCTAACTAGACTTAACATACATCTACAGAACACTCTACCCAACAACAGAAGAATACACATTCTTTTCAAGTGCACTTGACTGCGCTCCAGAATAGAACATGTTAGGTAATAAAGCAACTCAATAAGTTAAAAAGCTTGAAATCATACAAAATATCTTCTTTGACCACAATGGAATAAAACTAAAAATCAATAGCAGAAGGAAAACTGAAAAGTTTATAAATATGTGTAAACTAAACAACACACTCTTAACCAATAGATACCTCCAAAGTATGAGGAATAGAAAATACTTAGAGATGGATGAAAACATCAACACAACATACTAAAATGTAGGGGATACAGCAAAAACAGCACTCAGAGAGAGCTCAGCAACTTAACTGTAATATATTAAATAACTAGAAAAATCAGAGCAAACCAAACCCAAAGCTCACAGAAGGAATGAAATAATAAATATAGAGCAGAGACAAATGAAATAGAGACTAGAAACACAATAGAGAGAATCAACACAACAAAAAACTGATTATTTGAAAAGAGCAACAAAATTGACAAACCTTTAGCTAGACTAAGAAAATAAAAAGGAAAAGATGCAAATAACTAAAATCAGTAACGAAAATGGATACATTACTACTGCTTTACAGAAGTAAAAAGGATTATAACAGAATACTATGAATAATTGTGCACCTATAAATTAGATAACCCATATGAAAGGGACACATACTGATATGGTTTGGCTCTGTGTCCCCACCCAAATCTCATGTTGAATTGTAATCCTGATTGTTGGAGGTGGGGCCTGGTGGGATCATGAGGGTGGCTTCTAATGGTTTAGCGCCATCCCCTTAGTGCCGCCTCGTGATACAGTTCTCACAAGATCTGCTTGTTTGAAAGTGTGTAGCACTTCCCCCATTGCTCTCTCCTTCCTGCCAGCCATGTGAATATGCGCCTGCTTCCCCTTTGCCTCTTCCATGATTGTAAGTTTCCTGAGGCCTCCCAAGAAACAGAAGCCTGTACAGACCTGCAGAACAGTGAGCCAATTAAACATCTTTTTCTTTATATAAATTACCCAGTCTAAGGTATGTCTTTATAGCAGTGTGAGAATGGACTAATATGCATACAAATTACCAAAAGTGACTCAAGATGACCTCATAACAACAGCCTATTTTCACTATCAGTGTCGATCTCACCTAATCCTATACCTTTAAACACTATCTAAATGCTGTGATTCCTGATTTTTTTCTGCAGACTGACTGTCTCTTGAACTCCAACACATGTATATTCAGCTTTCTATTCAACAGCTACACTATGATAGCTTATAACATTTCAAATTTAAATGTCCAAAACTAATATCCTGATTTCATCACACTGCACCAAAACTATCTTATCCCGACTAATGCAACTCTCCACACAGCAAAAGAGTAGATCTTTTAGAAAATATATAATCAAATTTTAAACAAATATCTTATTTTATTTTTTGAGAGGGATTCTCACTCTGTCACCCAGGCTGGAGTGCAATGGCATGATCTCGGCTCACTGCAACCTCTGCCTCCCAGGTTCAAGTGATTCTCCTGCCTCAGCCTCCCAAGTAGCTGGAATTACAGGTGCCCACCACCACACCCAGCTAATTTTTGTATTTTTAGTAAAGACAGGGTTTCACCATGTTGGTCAGGCTGATCTCGAACTCCTGACCTCAGGTGATCCACCTGCCTCGGCCTCCCAAAGTTCTGGGATTACAGGTGTGAGCCACCGAGCCCAGCCAGATAGATATTTTATTGAGGTGCAATTCACATAATATAAAAGAAACCATTTAAAAGTGACATTTAGTATGTTTGTAATATTATGTAACCAACACCTCTATAACATGGCAAAATATTTTTATCACCCCCAAAGAAAACTTTGTATCTATTAGACTGTCACTCTCTATCCCCCCTCCCCACTGCTTGTTTATCTATCATCCATTGATGGACATTTAGGTTGTTCCCACCTTTTGCCATTGCAAGTAGTACTGCTATGAATATTAGTGTACAAGTATTTGTTTAAGTACCAGTTTCAATTCTTTGGGGTATATAACTAGAATTTGAATTGCTAGGTCATATGGAATTCTGTATTTGAATTTTTGAGGAACCACTGTTCTGTGTGGAAACACGCAAGGGGAGAAGAAAAGACACACACACAATACCTTTAAGGGTAAACGACCTTTCTCCCACGTAAATGGCAATGCAGATATAATAAGAAAATGATATAATAAGCAAATTGATATAATAAGCAAATTGCAATGGGAAGGGGAGAAGGGAAAAGATATATACATATTTACACTCAGTAGACTATCGGGAATTCATCACCAGACCGCAAAGCAACAGCCTGGGTTCCAGAGTTGGCCACTACACTCACCAGACTATGGAGGTTTCACCACCAGACTGGGAAGCAGCAGCCTGGGCTCCAGAGTCAGCCACTTGTCTGTGCACTGATGAGGAAAGGTCTCATGAAGCTTTGGCACGGTCTGGGACCCTAGGTCTTTTTGTAATGAGTTGTTTGGCCTGAGGTCCAGTCACGAGGGACCTTCATGACTGGGATTAAGGAACACAAAAAGGTCAACTTGTTTTGGGGATTGTCTGTTGTTTTTCAATAACTAACATATAGGAATAGATTGAAATAGAGATTTGTCCAAAACAGTGCTGAGTGAATGCCTCAAGGGGCTCACACAACCTGTTCTGGGACTTGGTGACCATTGTTTGTGTCCACGTTCAATTCAGTTTAAATTTAATATTTAACCTTTTGTCCACAACTACCAAACTGTTTTCCACAGCAGCTGTACCCTTTACATTCCCACCAGTAATGCACGTGTGTTCCAATTTTCTCCACATCCTTACCAACACTTATTATTTTCTAGTTTAAAAAAAATTGTACTCACTGTAGTGGGTGTGAAGTGGTGCCATTTTGTGGTTTTGATTTGCGTTTCCCTAATGACTAATGGTGTTGAGCATCTTTTGATGTGCCCATTGGCTATTTGTATGTATTCTTCGGAGAAATGTGTATTCAAGTCCTTTGCCCATTTGAAAATTGGGTTGTCTGTCTTTTTCTTATTGAATTGTAGAAGTTCTCTATATATTCTGGATACTAGAGTTTTATTAGACATACAATTTGCAAATATTTTCTCCCCTTCTGTGGACTGTCTTCACTTTCTTGGTGGTGTCCTTTGAAACATGAACATTTTAAATTTTGATAAAATGTAATTTATCTATTTTTTCTTTCGTTGTTTATGCTTTTGGTGTCATATCTAAGAAACTAATGTGAATCCAATGTCATGATGATTTAACCTATGTTTTCTTCTAAGAGTTGTATAGTTTTGGCTCTTACATATAGGTCTTTCATCCATTTTCGTGTTAAATTTTGTATATGGTATGAAGTAAGGATCAAATGTCCTTCATTTGCATGTGAATATCCAGTTGTCTCAGCACACTTTGTTGCAGAGACTATTCTTTACCCATTGAGTAGTCTTGACACTCTTGTTAAAAATCAGTTAGCTAGCCACAGACATATCTTTATTTCTAAGATTCTCAATTCTATTCCACTGGTGTAAATGTATACACTTCTGGCATTACCACGATCTTTTGATTACTGTAGTTTCATGGTATGTTTTCAAATCAGGAAATGTGAGTCCTTGAACTTTATTCTTCTTTTTCAAGGTTGCTTTGTCAATATGGGGCTCTTTAATTCCATATGAATTTAGGATCAGGTTTTCCATTTCTGCAAAAAAGGCCATTGGAATTTTGATAGGAATTATAATGAATCTGTAGATAATTTTGAGTAGTATTGCCATCTTAAGAATCATCCTTGAATATGGAAATTTTTTTTAAGTATTCTTTAATTTCTTTCAGAAATGTTTTTGTAGTTTTCAGTGTACAAGTTGTACATGTTCTTGGTTAGATTTATTCCTAGGTATTTTATTCTTTTTGATGCTATTGTAAATTTGTCTTAGTCTGTTTTCTGTTGCTATAACTGAATAATTGAGAGTGAGTAATTTATTTACTTGTTTGTTTGTTTGTCTTTTATTTTTTGAGATGGAGTTTCATTCTGCTGCCCAGGCTGGAGTGCAGTGGCCCAATCTTGGCTCACTGCAGCCTCTGCCTCCTGGGTTCAAGTGATTTTCCTGCCTCAGCCTCCCAAGTAGCTGGGACTACAGGTGCCCACCACCACACCCGGCTAACTCTTTGTATTTTTAATAGAAACAGGGTTTCACCATGTTGGCCAGGCTGGTCTGGAACTCCTGACCTCAGGTCATCTGCCCACCTTGGCCTCCCAAAGTGCTGGGATTACAGGCGTGAGCCACCACACCCGGCCGAGACTGGGTAATTTATAAAGAAAATATATTTATCTTTTATAGAACTTTTATTTGTTTGTTTGTTTGTTTTTTTGTTTTTTGAGACAGTCTCACTCTGTTGCCCAGGCTGGACTGCAGTGGCATAATCTCAGCTCACTGCAACCTCTGCCTCCTGGGTTCAAGCGATTCTCCTGCCTCAGCCTCCCGAGTAGCTGGGATTACAGGCATGCACCACCACATCTGGCTAATTTTTGTATTTTTAGTAGCGACGGGGTTTCACCATGTTGGCCAGGCTGGTCTTAAACTCCTGGCCTCGGGTGATCCCCCTGACTCAAAGTGCTGGGATTACAGGCGTGAGCCACCATGCCCAACCTTTTATAGTACTTTTTAAAAGATGTATTTTATTTGTAATTGATATATAATAATCACACATATTTATGGGGCACAGCGTGCTGTTTTGATACATGTATACATTGTGCAATAATCAAATCAGGATGATTAGCAAATCTATTACCTCAAACATTTATTATTTGTTTGAGGTAAAGATATTAAAAATCCTCTTATTTTGAAATATACAATATATGATTGTTAACTATAGTCACTCTATTGTGCAATAGAACACCAGAACTGATTCCTCCAATCTAACTGTAACTTTGTACCTGTTGACCAACTTCTCTCCATCTCCCCACCCCTTGTCCTCCCCATCCTCTGGTAACCACTTTTCTGCTCTCTATTTCTATGAGATCAACATTTTGTAGATTCCACTTGAGTGAGATCATGCAGTGTTGGTTTTTTTGTGCCTGGCTTATTTCACTTAATATAATGTCCTCCAGGTCCCTCCATGTCATCACCAGTGACAGAATATCATTCATTTTTATGCTAAATAGTATTCCATTGTGTATTTATACCACATTTTATTTATCCATTTATCAATTGATGGACACCTAGGTTGGTTCCATATCTTGGCTATTGTGAATAGTGCTGCAATAAACATGAGAATGCAGATACCTTTTCAATACACTGGTTTCATTTCCCTTGGATATGTACTTAGTAGTAGGTTTGCTGGATTTTCTTACTGTTCTGGAGGCTACATCTGGTGAGGATCTTCTTGCTGGTGTGGACTCCGCAGAATTTTGCGGCAGCACTGGGCATCACATGGAGAGGGAGCTAGAGCATGCCAAACTGGCTTTTATAACAGACTCACTCTCGTCATAACTAACCCACCCCTGTAATAGCTCATTAACCTATTAACCTATTAGTGGTTAATGGCAGAGCCCTCACGACACAATCACCTCTAAAAGGCCCCACATCTTAATACTGTTGCATTAAGTTTCAACATAGTGTTAGAGAGGAGGAGCATTTAATCATAGCGGAATGTTTCCTTAGTTTTCTTTTCAGATTGTTCATTGCTGGTGTTTAAAATACCACTGATTTTTGTGTGTTGATCTTGTATCCTACACTTTGCTGCATTCATTTATTTGGGATTTCTTATGTATAGAATTATGCCACCTATGAATAGGTATAGTTTTACTTCTTCTTTTCCAACTTGGATAACTTTTATTTCTTTTTCTTTCCTATTTGCTCTGGCTAGAAATTCTAGGACAATGCTGAATAGCAGTGGCAAAAGAGGGAGAAGAAAAGGTGCTCCTTGTCTTGTTCCTGATTTTGAGGGTGCCTTTGTCCATTCAAGCTAGAATAACAAAACAGTTTAGACTGGGTAATTTATAAAGAACAGAAATTTATTTCTTATACTTCTGGAAGCTGGGAAGTCCAAGATCAAGACACTAGCAAATTTGGTGTCTGGTAGGGGCTCACTGTCTGTTTCCAAGATGGTGCCATGTCGCTGCATTGTCCAGAGGGGACAATTGCTCTGTCCCCACATGGTGGGAGGAGCTGAAGGGAGAAACTCTTTCCCTCAAGCCCTTTCATAAGGTCATTAATCCCATTCATGAGACTGGATCCCTTATGGCCTAATCACCCCAAGGACCTCACCTCTTAATATCACCACTTTGGGTGTTAAGTTCCAACATATGTATTTGAAAGTGACACATGCATTTAAACCACAGCAGGGGAGAAGTTTTCAGTTTATCACCATTATGATGTTAGCTGTTGTTTTTTCATAAATGCCTTTTATTATTTTGAGGAAGTTCCTTTCTATTCCTAGTTTTCTTAGTGTTGTTATCATGCAAGGGTGTCAGATTTGGTGAAATGTGTTTTCTTCATCAACTGAGATGATCATGTGGTTTTTTTTCCCATTTATTCTCATAATGTTGTTTATTACATTGCTTAATTTTCTTGTTGAAACATTCTTGCATCCCTTGCATATATTGCATATGGTCATGGTGTATATTTCTTTTAACATGCATTTGGGTTTAGTTTACTAGTGTTGAGAGTTTTGCATTTGTATTCCTAAGGAATATTGATCTGTGGTTTTCTCTTCTTGTAGGGTGTTGTCTGTTTGACTTTGGTATCAGGATAAATATGACCTCATAGAATGAGTTAGGAGGTGTCCTTTCTATTTTGGGGAGAAGATTTTGAAAAAAGGTATTAATTCTTCCTAAAATATTTTGTAGAATTCACTAGTGAATATGGTGATGGTCCTGGGCTTTTCTTTTTTGGGAGGTTTTTGATTACTGATTCAATCTCTTTTCTTCTTATAGTTCTGTTGATTATGTAGATTGTTGTTGTGAGATCTTCGTGAGCCTGTTTTGATAATTTGGTAATTTCAATCTGTCCCATTCATTCAGGTTATCAAATTTGTTGGTGTACAACTGATATGGTTTGGCTCTGTGTCCCCATCCAAATCTCGAACTGTAATCCACGTGTTGAGGGAGGGACCTGGTGGGAGGTGATTGGATCGTGGGGGGCAGTTTCCCCCATGCTGTTCTCATCGTAGTGAGTGTGTTCTCACGATATCTGATGGTTTCATAAGGGGCTCTTCCCCCTTTGCCCGCTCTCTCTCCTGCCATCTTTCTAAGAAGGTACTCGCTTCTGTTTCCTCTTCTGCCACGATTGTAAGCCTGAGGCCTCCCTAGCCATGTGGAACTGTGAGTAAATTAAACCTCTTTCCTTTGTAAATTACCCAGTCTCAGGTATTCTTTACAGCAGTGTGAAAATGGACTAATACAACAGTTGTTTATAGTATTATTTTGTAATCCTTACTATTTCTGTAAAGCAGTAGTAATGTACCCATTTTCATTTCTCATTTTAAGTATTTGCGTTGTCTCTTTTACTCAGTCTAGCTAAAGGTTTCTTAGTATTTTACTTTCAAATAAGCAACTTCTTGTTTTGTTGATTCTCTCTGTTGTTTTTTTGTTTCTATTTCATCTGCTTTGTATTTATTATTTCCTTTCTTCTGTTAGGTTTGCGTTTGGTTTGCTCTGATTTTTGTAGTTATTTAATGCACACAGTTAAGTTGTTGATTTGATATCTTTCTTCTCTTTTAATGTAGGTATGTATGGTTGTATATTTCTCTCTGAGCACTGTGTTTTCTGCATCCCATAAGTTTTTATATGTTATGTTTACGTTTTCATCTCAAATTTCCCTGTGATTTTTGGGGACCTATTTGCTGGTTGGGCTGAAAAGAGAACATTGCCGAAGGCAATCTTGTGTGCTCCAACATTTAGAAGTTGAAAAATGATAAGGCAATAGCAGAAATATAGCCAAAATTTGTCCAGAATCTGTCCACTTAATCTAGGTCATGAATTTATTGGCATAAAGTTGTTCATAATATTCTCTTATTATTGTTTTAATAGCTGTATAATCTATACTGATATCAGCATTCCTATTTCTAACCTTGGTAATTTGTGTCTTCTCTCATTTTTCCTGATCAGCTTGGCTAGAAGTTTACCAAGGTTACTGATCTTCCTAGAGAACCAGCTTTTGGTTTCATTTTCTCTCTGTTTTTCTGTTTTCAATGGTAATTGACTTCTCCATTGATCCTTATTCTTTCCTTTTCTTTGGCTTTGAATTTAATTTGACCCATATTAAAAGTTTCTACTTTCTTAAAATGAAAACTGAGGTCACTGATTTGAGACTTTTCTTACCCACTAGGTACTGTTTTACTGGCATCCCCAAAATTCTGATAAGTTGTGCTTTCATTTTTATTAAATTCAAGATAGTTTCTACCTTCTCTTTGCTTTCTTCTGGACCCACAGATTATTTAGAAGTTTGTTATATAATTTCCAAATATTTGGAAGGTTTACAGACATCTTTCTGATATTGGTTCTTAATTTAATTCCATTTTGTTGGGAGAACATAGTTTATATGACTGGAATATTTTGGGATTTATTGAGACCAATTTTGTTTCCCAGAATATCTTAGTAAATGTTCTGCAACCACTGGAGAAGAAAGAACACTTTGCCATGGAGCATTCCATAAGTGTCAAACAGGTCATGTTGATTGAGAATATTTAACTCTACTATATCTTTGCTGATTTCCTGCCTGCTTATTCTATCAATTATTGAGGAAGAGTATTAATATTCATAACTGTAGATCTGGCTACTTTTCATTATAGTTCTATCAGCTTTTACTTCGTGATTCTGAAGCTCCCTTATTAGGGGCATACATATTTATTATTATTATGTCCTCTTGGGAAATTGACCCCTTTGTCTTTATGAAATGACCTTCCTCATCCCTAATATTATTTTTTGCTCTGAAGTCTTTGTCTTATGTTGATACAGCCACTGTAGCTTTCTTTGACTGGTGTTAGTGTTATATATCTTTTTTTCCATCCTGACTCTTAATCTGTTTCTGTCTTCATGTTTAAAGTGCATTTGTTTTAGGCAGCATGTCATTTAGTATTGATTTTTTATTCAGTTTGACACTCTCTACCTTTTAATTGGGTATTTAAACCATATACATCTAATGTGATTTTTTGAACATGGTTAGGTTTAAGACTGTCACCCTTCCTTGTTTTCTGTGTATCCCATCTAATGTGTTCTTTTAAACTCTTTTTATGCCTTCTTTGGATTGAATGTTTTCTAATGCTCAATTTTATTTTATCTGTTGGCCTATTATCTCTTTATTTCATTATTTTAGTACTTGCTCTAGAATTTATTATGTATATTTTTAACTTATCACCATCTATTGTCAAGTGATATTAAACCTTTCCACATATAGCATTGATTTTCAGCTGGGAACAATTTTGTCTTCCAGAGGATTATTGACGATATGCAGGGACTAGGGGCCTTTAGTGGGTAGAAGCCAGGGATCCTGCTAAAATCCTACGATGCACAGGATAGTTTTTCACAGTGGAAAATTATCTGGCCCAAAATGTCAATGGTGCTGTGTTTGAGAAACTCTGACATATAGTCTAAGATTCTTCTATGGTACTCTCTCCCTCTGGCCTTTATGTTGTTGTCACATTTTACACAATACATTGTCATTATTTTGTTTAAACAATTTATATTTTAAAGCAAATTAAATAGTAAAAAAGTCTTACACATTTATTCATGTAGTCACTATTTCTGGTGCTCTTCAGTTCTTTGTGTATATCCAGATTTCTCTTTGGTATAATTTTACTTCTGCTTGAAGAATTTCCATTACTGTTTCTTGCAGTTTGTGTCTACTCATGATGAATTCTTTCAGCTTTCATATGTTGGAAAAGTCTTTATGTCACCTTTCTTTTGGAAAGATTTGTGGGGGCGTTTAGAAATTGAAATTATTATTTTTTTCTATCAGTGCTTAAAGATATTTCCACTGTGTTTCTGCTTGCACCGTTTCCAAAGAGAAAACTACAGTTGTCCTTATCTTTGTTCTCTGTACATACCATGTCTTTTTCTTCTGGTTGCTTTTAAGATCTTCTCTTTATCACTGTTTTTTTTGTTTTTTTGAGATGGAGTCTCGCTCTGTCGCTCAGGCTGGAGTGCAGTGGCGTGATCTGGGCTCACTGCAAGCAATTCAATTATAATATGCCTTGGTGTAGTTTTCTTCATGTTTCTTAAGCTTGGGGTTTGGCGAGCTTCATGAATCTGTGCATTCATAGTTTTCATCAGCTTTGGAATCTTTTCAGCCATTATTTCTCAAATATTTTCTGCCTGACCCTGCCCTTTCAGAGACTCCAGTTACACATTTATTAAGATGCTTAAAGTTGTCCTAAAACTCACTGATATTCTTTTTATTTTTAAAATTTATTTTTCTCTTCATTTTGGGGAGTTTTTATTACAGTGTTTTTAAGTTCAATAATCTTTTCTTCTACAGTGCCTATTCTGCCATTAATCCCAGCCATTAATCCCATGAAAGTAGTTTTCATCTCAGGAATTTCACTTGGGTCTTTTTAAAAAATAACTTCCTTATTCTAATTATGGTCATGTTTTCCTGCCTCTGTGAATGCCTGGTAATCCTTTCTTTTTTTTTTTTTGGATGTCAAAAAAGAGAGTTTGCCTTACTGGATGCTGAATATTTTCCATTCCTATAAATCTTCTAGAGCTTTGTTCTGGAATGCAGTTAATTCAGAGTCAGCTTGATCTTTTAAGTCTTGATTTATGATTTGTTTGGTGGGTGTGGCTCAGTGCCCAGTCTCAGTCTGATTATTTTGCACTACTGAGGCAAGACGTTCCTGAGTCTCCTACTGTGAAAGCATGAGGTTTTCCAGTTGGCCTGGTAGGAAAAGGCACTATTCCTGTCTCAGCGTGAGCAGGGGGCATTGCTCCTTCTTATCATTTTGGATAATTCTTTCCCCATAGCTGGGTAATTTCCTTACACACACATGCCGATCAGTACTCTGCTAAATGCTCTAAACCTCTCTCTTTGCTCTCTTCAGTGCTCTCTTCTTTGGCTCTCTGTCCTATGAACTCTAGCTTAGTTGCTCCAGGCTCTCAGCTCCATGTTCTCAAACCAGTCTTCCAGTTCTACTTGGCGCGCCCTCCACCCCGCCCCACCCCCGGCAGGCTAGAAACTCTCTCAAGGTTCTGAGCTGAGGAACCTAGTGTTCACCTCATTTTCCCCGTCTTTCGGGAATTCCCGTCCTTCATTGCCTGATGTCCAATGTGTTGAAGTCCGTGGTTTCATATATTTTGACTGGATCTTTTATTGTTCCAAGTGGGAGGGTAAATATGTTCCTTGTTACTTCATTTCAAAATCTGGTTTTGACTACTATGCACCTACTAGAACGGCAAATCTTCAGAACATAGCAACACCCAATGCTGGTGAGGAGGTGGATCAACAGGAACTCTCATTCGTTGCAGGTAGGGATGCAACATGGAACAATCACTTTGTTTTTCTTTTTTTTTTTTTTTGAGACAGAGTCTTGCTCTGTCTCCCAGGCTGGAGTGCAGTGGTGCAATCTTGGCTCACCGCAACCTCCGCCTCCCAGGTTCAAGCAATTCTCCTGCCTCAGTAGCTGGGATTACTGGCTTGTGCCACCACGCCGGGCTAATTTTTGTATTTTTAGTACAGACAGGATTTCAGCATGTTGGCCAGGCTATTCTCGAATTGACCTCAAGTGATCTGCCTGCCTCGGCCTCCTGAATTGCTGGGATTACAGGTATGAACCACCATGCCCAGCCAGAGCAGGCACTTTGGAAGGCAGTTTGTTTGTGATATAGTTTGGATATATGTCCCGCCCAAATCTCATGTTGAGTTGTAAACCCCAGTGTTGGAGGTGGGGCCTGGTGGGAGGTATTTGGACCATGAGGGTGAATCGCTTGTGGCTTGGTGGTGTCCTTGTGATAGTAAGTGAGCACTCATGAGATCTGGTTGTTTAAAAGTATGTGGCACCTCCCCCACCCCCCCCTCTCTTGCTCCTGCTCTGACTATGTGAAGGGGCTGCTCCAGCTTTGCTTTCGACCATGAGTAAAAGCTCCCTGAGGCCTCCCCAGAAGCTAAGCAAATGATGGTGCCAGTAGGTGGTGCTTCCTGTACAGCTGCAGAACTGTGAGCCAATTAAAACCTCTTTTCTTTACAAATTACCCAGCCTCAGGCATTTCTTTACAGCAATACAAGAATGGCTTAAGACAGGTGGTTTCCTTTTTGAAAAAAAAATTTAATTTCAGGCTGCTCTCAAACTCCTGGCCTCAAGCCTTCCCCTCACCTTAGCCTCCCCAAACGCTGGGGTTACAGGCATGAGTTACTGTGCCAGGCCCAGCTTGGTGGTGTCTCACAAAGCTAAATATACCAGACAACCCAGTAACTGTGCTCCTTCGTATTCTATTCACCCAAAGGAGTTGAAAAAGCATTACCACATGGATGTTCATAGCAGTTTTATTTATAAATTGGAAGCAATCAAGATGTCCTTCAGTAGGTGGATGGATTAGCTGTGGTACATCCAGACAATGGAATATTATTTAGCACTAAGAAGAAATGAGCTATCAAGTCATGAAAAGACATAGAGAAATCTCAAATGCATATTACTAAGAGAAAGAAGCCACTCTGAAAAGGCTACATACTGTATGATTCCGTTCATATGATGCTCAGAAAAAGGCAAAACTGTGGAGATAGTAAAAAGTTTGGTGGTTGCTAGGGGTTGGTGGCAGGGAAGGATGAACAGGCAGAGCACAGAGGATTTTCAGGGTAGTGATATAACTCTGTGTCACTATGTGACACTGTAATGATGGGTACATGCCATTATACACTTACAAAAACCCATAGAATATATAACACCAAGCGTGAACCCTGATGTAAACTGTGGATTTTGGGTGACAATGATGTGTCACTGCCATTTATCAATTACAATAAATGGTGGGGGAAGATGTTGACAAGGGAAAGGCTGTACATGTGTTGGGGAAGGGGTTATATGGGAATCTCTGTACCTTTCTCTCTCTCTGTCTCTCTCTTTTTCTCTCTCTCTCTCTCACACACACACACACACATACACACACACACACACACAACATGCAGAGTCAAGTACCAGAGAAGCTCATCATTGTCATGCAGCTCTGTTTAACTGTGGCTTGTTCAAGACATGGAGAAGCATAGAGATGTTTAGAAATGACTGGATTGTTTTACCTTTTGAAACAATGGTTTCATACTGCCTGCTCTTTCATAAATAAACCCAAAGTTACTCAGTTCTTTCTGCTGAACCACTACTTTATAAGATAATCCCTTTTATCATCCAATGTGCAGCCAGGACTAACTAGGTGATGTTGGGGTCTGATGTCCTCATGAGGTTGGGATGATCCTCTGCACTTCCTCTGGCAACCGGTTTTCTGCATCCTTAGGGAAAATTCTTGCCCTCAGGCATGATGTTTGTAAACTTTTTCTTCTTTTTCTTCATTTTCTTCTCCCATTTGATCCTTCTAGAACTTCATTAGAATTTTCTTGGTATTCTGCAATTCCAATTAGATTTCATGAGAGAAATGATGCCATATTGCTCTTTCTTTTGTTAAAAGTCACTGGCAATTGGAGCACGGTCACTCATGCCTGCAATCCCAGTGCTTTCAGAGGCCGAGGAGGGAGCACTGCTTGAGGCCTCAAGTTCTAGACAAGCCTGGGCAACACAGTGAGACCCCATCTCTACAAAAATTAAAATAAAATTAGCCAAGCATGGTGGCGTGTGCCTGCAGACCCAGCTACTTGGGAGGCTGAGACAGGAGGATCACTTGAGCCCAGGAGTTCAAGGCTGTAGTGAGAGGTGATCATGCTTACTTCACTCCAGCCTGGGTGACAGAGAAAGATGCTGTCTCTAAAAAAAAAGAAAGAAAGAAAAAAAAGGTCGCCAGCAATTTGGAACAGAAAGGCCCACAGTGGAACAGAGCTTCATGAGAACAGTGGGCCCTGAAGGCCCACTGTGGTTTTTTTTTTTTTTTTTTTTGAGACGGAGTCTTGCTCAGTCACCCAGGCTGGAGTGCAGTGGTACAATCTCGGCTCACTGCAACCTCTGCCTCCTGGGTTCAAGCAATTCTTGTGCCTCAGCCTCCCAAGTAGCTGGGATTGCAGGCACATGCCACCATGCCTGGCTAATTTTTGTATTTTTAGTAGAGACAGGGTTTCACCATGTTGGCCAGGCTGGTCTTGAACTCCTGACCTCAGGTGATCCTTCTGCCTTGGCATCCCAAAGTGCTGTGATTACAGGTGTGAGCCACGAGCCCAGCCACTAACTTTGAATAATAATAATGGTGGCGCAGAGGGCATGCCCCATCATGCCCCATAGGAGCTCTTACTTTGTTTAGTTTTTAAAGTGGTCCTAGGCAGTGTGTGGGATAAACACATCAAACCCCTCCCTGCTTCTTGACACATCTCCTTTCTTGGTTTTCGTGCGTTCTCTCATTCCCAGTTTTCCTCCTACCCCAGTGGCCTGTTCTTTCTCAGTCTCCTTTGGTGGTTGCTTGTGCTTGTCCTCTCCATGGTAGAGGCCCCAGAGCTTGGCCTGTCTTCTCCCTTTACACGTCGCCTCAAGGTACTCTTATCTGGTCTCGTGATTCATGTGCCATCCACATACAGTCACGTGTCACATGATGATGTCTTGGTCCATGAGGGACCACACAGATGACAGTGGTCCCATAAGATTATAATGGACCTGAAAAATTCCTATTGCCTAGTGACATCGTAGCTGTGATAACTTCATAGCGCAACGTATTGCTTGCACGTTTATGGTGATGCTTGTGTAAATAAACCTGCTGTGCTGCCAGTCGTATAAAAGTATTGAACAGGGCCAGGTACAGTGCCTCATGCCTGTAATGCCAACGTTTTGGGAGGCTGAGGTGGGAGGATTGCTTAAGGCCAGGAGTTTGAGACCAGCCTGGGCAACACAGTGAGACCCCATTTTTATAAAAGGAAAAAAAATTAGCCAGGCATGGTGGTACATGCTTATAGTCTCAGCTACTCAGGAGGCTGACGTGGGAGGATTGGTTAAACCTAGGAATTGGAGAGTGCAGTGAGCTATGATTGCACCATTGCATTCCCCAGCAAGACCCCATCTCAAAAAAAAAAAAAGGATTACAGAATTATGTACAGTACCTTATACTTGATAATGATAATAAACAACTGTGTTACTGGTTTATGTACTTACTGTACTATAATCATTATTTTAGAATGTACTTCTACTTAAAAAAAAAAAACCAGTTAAATGTAAAATGGCCTCAGGCAGGGCCTTCTGGAGGTACTCTAGAAGAAGGCCTTGTCATCATAGGAGACGAAACCTCCAGGTGTGTTACTACCCCGGAAGACTGTCTGGTAGGACATGATGTAGAGGTGGAAGACGGTGATATTGATGATCCTGACCCCGCGTAGGCTTAGGCTGCCGTGTGTGTTTGTTTCTTCACTTTTAATAAAAACATTTAAAAAGTAAAACAAAAAAATTAAAAATAGATAAATGCTTATAGAATAAAAATATAAAGAAAGAAAATATTTCTGTACAGGTATACAAAGTGGTTTTTTTTTTTTTTTTGAGACAGGGTCTCGCTCTGTTGCCCAGGCTGGCAGTATCAGGGCTCACAGCAGCCTCAACCTCCCAGGCTCAAGCCATCCCAAGTAGCTGGGATTATAGGCATTTGCCACCACGCCCAGCTAATTATGTATATTTTGTAGAGACAGAGTTTCACTATGTTGGCCAGGGTGATCTCAAACTCCTGGGCTCAAGCCACCCACTCTAGCCTCCCAAAGTGCTAGGATTGCAAGCATGATCAAATACAAAGGCCACTGCCCCGGCTGTGTTTGTGTTTTAAGCTAAGTGTTATTACAAAAATCAAAGTTTCTTAAAAATTTAAAGTTTATAAAGCAAAAAAGTTGACATAAACTAAAGTTAATTTATTATTGAAGCAAAAAAATGTGAAGGAAATCTAGTGTAGTTTAAGTGTACAGTGTTTGTAAAGTTTATGGTATACAATAACACCTAGGTCTTCACATTCACTCACTACTCACTAACCCATTCAGACCAACTTCCAGTCTTGCAAGCTCCATTCACAGTAAGTGTCCTATCCAGGTGTGCCATTTTGTATCTTTTTACTGTGTTTTTACTGTATCTTTTCATGTTTAGTTACACAGATACGTACCATGTGCTATAGTTGCTTACAGTATTAAATACAGTAACATGCTACAGGGGTTTACCGTATAGGTTTTCTTACCGAAAACCATCCAGTGGTTTTGTAGTAAGACTAGAATGCAGTTTAAACAGGGACCTTGCAGGCCCTGGCCCTGCGCAATCCAGCCTGACTCACATCTCGGCCCCAGATCGGCCTCGGATCATTCCCACCCGCTCTGTCCATTCACCCTCTTCTGGTCCTTGAACCCAAGTCCCTCTGACCTCTGCTTCTCGCTCCTCGCACCTCACTCTAGGTCTTCCCACGCTGGCTTCCTCTTGGTGACCAGGCCTCACCTCAAAGACCACTCCTCAGAGCCACCTTCCCTGGCCGCTCTAACCAAGTCCCCCTCATCTGACCAGCCACAGTTCCTCTGTCACAGAACTCTCCTCTTTTGCTCAAGGCATTTGTCACTGTCTGACTATGTTGCATTTATTTATTTGCTTACTCATTTATCATTTTTCTTTCTCTACTAAAATATATGTGCCAAGAAAACAGAGATTGCATCTTTGTTCTTTGCTGCTATATCCTCAGTGGCTAGAACAGTGCAGGCCCATGGTAGGCACAGTAAATGCTCATTGAATGAGTGAAGGATTCGGAAACAAGGCTCAGATAGATTAACTAGCTCATAGGGATGCACAAGACTCTGGGACTGAGCCAGTGAGGCAGAAGAATAGGGTCTGGAGGCAGGGGACCTAAGGCCAATTCACGCTGACTTCCTAGAACTAAATAAAAAGGAAAACCAAAACTTTTCACGCCTAAGTAACAAAAGGACTGGAGGCTATGCCCTTTGCAACCTGCCCCTGCTCCACCCCACTCTTTTTCTGCGTGGGAGATGGAAAATTGAAAGTAAGTCTGATCGGTTGCTTTCTACAGGGCTCACTGCAGCCTCAACCTCCCAGGCTCAAGCCATTCCGAGTAGCTGGGACTATAGGCATTTGCTTTCTTCAACTGATCAGACATTTGCATAGGAGTGTAACTTTGTAATTTCACTTCAGTCTCTGATTGGTTGCTTTCCACAGCCAATCATAGTGATTGCAGGCCACTATTTCATTTATCTAGGGTATACACCAAGTAACCAATGGGAAACCTCTGGAGGGTATTTAAATCCCAGAAAATTCTGTAAAGGCACGCTTGATCCTCTGTACTCAGGACCACTCCCACCCTGTGGAGTATACTTTCATTTTCAATAAATCTCTGCTTTTGTTGCTTCGTTCTGTCCTTGCTTTGTGCATTTTGTCCAATTCTTTGTTCAAAACACCAAGAACCTAGACACCTCCCACCAGTAACACCAGGGCACCCGTCCAAGTGTGTTGCCAGATGCACACTCAATGGCTATAATGAGGAAGAGTCCCAGAAACCTCACCTCTAGTTCCCTGAGTGCTACACCGGAAGCACGTCAATGGCCTGAGAGGGAGGGCCTGATCTTCCCCTTGCTGAAGGCTGTCAGGATCAGCCACTCGGGGCAGGGTGCTGTGTGTCCAGGCTGTGGGATGCTGCCAGTGAGTCTTGTGGAATAAGCCAGGCAGCCAGCTGCCTGAGGCTTGTGTGTTCTGGGTGCAGGTTGCAGGCCAGCAGTGGTGCCAGGTGGTATGGTCGCTGCAGGGAGGACGCTGCTCCCATGGAATCTGGCTGTGCACAGCAGAGGGGCCCAGATGTTCTTTCATAAGGCTCTAACCACGGAGGAACTGTTTAGGGCTCTTGGGGCCTGCTGTCGCCCATCTGGATGGAATCGGTCAATCAGGGGAAGGTGGGTTTCAGCATCCCAAATGTTTAAAGAAAGGTTTCAAAACTGGGAAGTTCCAGGGGAGTGTATGGTCAGGCAGCCACAGTCTGACTTGCTTGTAACCATCTGATTTCC
Organism: Homo sapiens; assembly: GCF_000001405.40. Lineage (NCBI taxonomy): Eukaryota > Metazoa > Chordata > Mammalia > Primates > Hominidae > Homo > Homo sapiens. The sequence goes on along the minus strand of NC_000010.11, from coordinate 49,572,464 downwards.
CAGGATTAGAGATTTGCGTTTTGATGGCTAGGTGGCAGAAACCTAGATCTCTTCAGGGACATGAAGAGATGTTCAGGTACAAGGGCAGTAAAAGAGGTATATGAGCAGGTTTGGGTAGATGGCAGAGAAGCAGAGCTGATTCCAGCTGGGGGCTGGCTCGCAAGACCTGATAACAGATGGGGCAGAGAACTGGCAGCATGGGTGGACGGAAGGCCGTTCCAACATTCTTCTGTGGGCCCAGAAACTTCTAAAGATCTCACCTCATGGAGGTTCTGCTAAGAGCCAACATCTGAGCCCAGAATCTCAGCTTCACATAGTACCTGCTGCATGACTTAGAACTTCAGCTTGTCCATCTGAAAAGTGGGAATAATACAAAGAATGCAGAACTACCAAGGCACGAGATGAAAATGTGATGTGCAAGGACGCAGAGCAGCCTCCGGAGCAAGCAGGCCCTGAACGCACCAGTGCTAGACCTGCATCTAAAGGTGGAGCAGCCTGGTGTGTGTGGGATGCTCTGCACCCCTTCTGCTCCTAGCCTCCTGGAAGTTGGAGCTGTGTTCCAGAAAAACCCCGAGGGATGGTTTGTTCAGACGGAAACACAGTCCCCCTGGGGGCTTCTTTGGGATAGAAAGAAGGAGGCTTCCTGAAGGGTGAAGGTGCATGAGCCCTACACCTTCATTTTTCTTTACCTCAGCACTCCATCCTGTCTCCTCACACGTTAAGTCAATAAAACCCAGAATGCAGCCATTTTTCTATCATTTCCTCTCTGCTGAGCCCAGTGTGCTCAAGAGCCACTTGAGCTGTGCACTAAGGCAGGACTGTTTTGCTTTTGCTGAGAGTACAGAGATCTGACAGGCCACAACCTTGTATTTTTCAAGTTTTATGATGTCAAAGATGACTCATTAGGTGGATGCTAGCTTTACTGATTAATCTTACTTATGCACATGTCTCGTTTCTCCCTGAAGGTTTGCTGGGAGCATTTATTTCTGCTACACTAGGAACAAACTCACAGGCAGGTCTCTGGAGCATTGCATATTGCAGACTCCATCTCTTTGGCCCTCCACATTAATTTCCTTCAAATGACACCAAGGGGCCAATATCTTGCATGCACACCTTTGCTTTGATGAAAATTTTGCTTTCATTTCTAATCATTTGTGTAAAAAGCCCTGGTTTGGGTTTGTTTAGACCTTTTGGGCAGGGAATTGATCTCCAAACCACTTCCAAATTGCTTCCACTGTGGAAACTCGCTGAGCCCGGCATTTTCTCTGCTGGACCAAAGGCCTCAGATTCCTTTGTCAGTCAGAAAAGAACACATACCACACTGGCTGTGATTCCCAGCCCTCATCCCCAATGAGGATTTAAAATTTTTTGATTAGAGCCGTGATCCCAAGGTGTTAAATGTTTGAGAAAGTTTTGCATTCTTTTCTTGAATATTGTTCTGTTCTACTGGGATTTTTCCTGGGATACTTGCTGATTTCTGCACCCTGGCTCCTGCTTTCTACCTGCACCCTTCTCTGTTGACCCCTAGGCTAGAACAGCCAACCACAAATAAAATACCACATTTCTCAAGTGGATAATGTGAAACTGTGACTTTTGGAAAAAACATTACCATTGGACGCCATGACAGTTATTCTGGTAAGCAAGACAGGCCGAGCTGATAGCAGGGAAATAACGAGGGGGTGGAGGGAAATGTAAGGAGAAGCAACATCAGCCACACTGAGGGAGCATGCTGAGGATGAGCAGCAGAGGCTGAGAGGCGCTTCTCCAGGAAGGCAGAGTTATAAGGCATGTGCCACCTGGTCTGGATCCTAGAGGCCACATCTCAGTGGGCACCAAGTCCCCAAGGAGCTAGAGAGACAGCCTCCTTCCTGACTCACCCCTAGGATTCTGGTTCCAGTGGTCTGAAGGGGGCCTGGGAATCTGTGTTTAACAGCAACAACAATAATAAGAGCCAACACTTGACAACAGCTATGTTCCAGCCATTGTCCTAAGAGTTTCATATATATCAACTTATTTAGTCCTTACAACAACTCTGTGGGGTAGGTGCTGGTGGTAGGCTGAATTCTAAGATAATCGCCAGTGACTCTCGCCCTTGTGTGATCACCTGCTTTTGAATATGGGCAGAACTTCTAAACATAATCTGACTCCCATGATTATGTTAAATTATATGGCAAAGGGGTGTTGTAGATGTTATTAAGATCCCGAAGAAATTGACCTAAGGAGAGGGAGATGATTTTGGGCAGGCCAGACCCAATCAGGTGGGTCCTTAAAAGGGATTGGACTCTTCTTGATGAAAGAGATTTGAAGTGTGAGAAGGATTTGACATGAGAGAGATTCTGCATTACTGGCTTTAAAGATGGGGAGGAGGGGATGTGGTAAGGAACACAAATGACCTCTAGGACTTAGAGTATCTCTCAGCTGACAGCCAGCAAAGAAAGGGGACCTCCATCCCACAGCTGCAAGGAACTGAGTTCTGCCACCACCACATGACCTTGGAAAGGGGTCCTGGGCGCAGATGAGGATGCAGTGATGGCCAATGCCTTGATTTTAACTTTGTGAGACCCTGAGCAGAGAGCCCAGTCACGCTGTGCCTGGACTTCTGACCTACAAAGCCACGAGCTGATAAATGGTTATGTTAAGTGGCTAAATTCATGACACTTTGTTGTGCAGCAATAGAAACCTAAGACAGATTTTGGTACTATAGAGTGGGGCACTGCTGAAGCCACCTTTGCAAAAATTATGACAGTGAGAGAAATCTTACATAGCCTACTCCATCTTGCTTCTAATCTTACAAGCTGTCTTTGCTCATTCCTGGGCATAACTCAAACTAACTATGGGAGGCATTTAGTGAAAAAGGTGATAACAGTTCTTTTCAGAAACTAACAGTTCTTTCCAGAAATGAAACCCCTCCTGTCTTTGTAGGATTATGACTTAGGAGTCATGTAGCCAGAGGTCACAAGACTTGTAACTTCTCCAATTGCTCCTGTAGATAACATCACTGTTATCAAAACCTAAGGTTGATCTTTGAGATATTTTTCAGACTTTTGCATTCTGGTGACTCCACCTGGACTTGTGACTCATACCATGGAACGAATTTAACTCTTTTGTGACGTGCCCAGCCCCCAATCCAGGAGCTGCCTCAGTGCAAGGAGACAGGTTTGACCCCCCCATGATTTCATGCCTGACCCAACCAATCATCATTTCCCATTCCCTAGCCCCCTTCCTGCCAAACTATCCTAGAGAAGCCCTGGCCTCTGAGCTCTGTGGGAGGCTGATTTGAGTAATAACTCCCGTCTTCTGCTTGGCTAGCCCTGTGTTTATTAAATTCTTCCTCTGTTGCAATACTTCTGTCTCAGTGAATCAGCTCTTTATGTGCAGTGGGCAAGAAGAACCTGTCAGGCAATTACACCAAAAATGTGGGAGTGATTCTGGAACTGAGAGTGGGCAGAGGCTGAAGAGAATTTGAGGAGAATTTTGAAGATCATGATGGAGAAAACTTAAGTCACTTTGAACAAACCTAGTAGAAATCTGGTCTTTAAGGGTGCTGCCAGTGAGAGCCATAAGGAAGTGAGAAACACTTTATTGGAAATTGGGAGGAAAGGAATCCTAGTTATGAAGTGGAAGTAAACTTAGCCGAGTTGTCTACTCCAGTTCTTTGGAAAGTGAAACTTGTAAGTGATAAACTTGGATATTTAGCTGAGGAGATGTCCAACGGAACTATTGAAGTGCAGTCTGGTTCCTTCTTGCTGCTTACAGTAAAATGCCAGAAAAAAAAGAGATAAATTGAGGGAATGGTGAAACAAAAAACTTTGTTCTTGATGATTTGGGAAATTCTCACTTTATCCAGCTGGCAAAAATGCTAAAGAGAAAAGATTGCATGTGAAAGTCTGGCAGAGAGTAAAAAGCCAAGGGTGTGACTGCACACACTTTTACTAAAACCTCAGAAACACCAAAAGGTCAGAATATTCAGTCATGCAAGGGGGTTTTTCAAGTTGAGGTTAAGGGTGTGCCTCACGGATCTTCTGGGCCAAACCAGAGGGCTTCTAGGCTTAAGGGTGTTGTACTTAGCTATCTCAGCAGGAGACAAAAACAGAGAAGAGATCATCGTCAAACAATGTGTGGGTGTGGGTTTTGTCTAATGGAAGGAACCCTAATGTAATACACAAGACCATGAAATTCTTAAGAAAATTATTTTGGCAGAAACACTACCAGCTTGGACTAAAAGAGTCCTAAAAGACAGAGAGTGCAAAATGAAAGATGCCTGCTGAACACCTGAGACTCTCCTGGCAGGAAACAGGGTGAGAAAACTGCAGCTGATCCTTGAACAATGTAGGTTTGAATTGTGTGGGTCCACTTACACCCAGATTTTTTTCAATAAAACTTACTTTGAGTGTCCCCGCCTCTCCTGCTCCCCCTTCTACCTCCTCCACCTCTTCCACTTCTGCCACCTCTGAGACAAGACCAACCCTTCCTCTTTCTCCTCTACTTCCCCCTGCTTAATCAATGTGAAGACAGTAAGGATGGAGACCTTTATAATGATCCACTTCTGCTTAGTGAATAGTAAATATATTTTCTCTTCCTTATGATCTTCTTAATAACATTTTCTTTTCTATAGCTTATTTTATTGTAAGAATATAGTATATAATACATATAACATACAAAACAGTTGTGTTAATCAACTGTTTACATGACCAGTAAGGCTTCCAGCCAATAAGCTACTAGTAGTTAAGTTTGGGAGGAGCCAAAATTATACATGGATTTTGGACTGTGTGGGAGGCCTGTGTCCCACCCCCAAAATTGCTCAAGGGTCAACTGCTGTCAGCTGTGCTACCTTTCACAACAAAGGATGAATGATGAGGGCTGAACCAAGAGCCCAGAGGGTCAAACCCACAGCAAGTAAGTTTTGGCCAATGGCCACCCCCAATGGGAGATAACATGAAGGAAAGAGCCAGTTCAGGGTCTTTTAAAAAAATTTATTTCAAGTTCAGGGGTACATTTGCAGGTTTGTTATATAGGTAAACTTGTGTCATGGGGGTTTGTTGTGCAATTATTCATCACCCAGGTATTAAGCTTAGTACCCATTAGTTATTTTTCCTTATCCTCTCCCTCCTCCCACCCTCCACCTTCTAATAGATCCCAGTGGGTCTGTTGTTCCCCTCTCTGTGTCCATGTGTTCTCATCATCTAGTTTCCACTTATAAGTGAGAACATGCTGTATTTGGTTTTCTGTTCCTGTGTTAGTTTGCTAAGGATAATGGCCTCCAGCTTCATCCATGTTCCTGCAAAGGACATGATCTGGTTTCTTTTAATGGCTGCATAGTATTCCATGGTGTATATGTACCACATTTTCTTTATCTAGTCTATCACTGATAGGCATTTAGGTTGATTCAATGTCTTTGCTATTGTGTCAATACTGCTGCAATGAACATGTGTGTGCATGTGCCTTTATAATAGAACGATTTATATCGTTGGGTCACTCTTCTACAATGGGTCACTCTTCTACAAATGGGTCACTCTTCTACAATGGTTGAAGTAATTTACACTCCCACCAACAGTATATAAGTGTTCCTTTTTCTCCTCAACCTCACCAGCATCTGTTATTTTTTGCCTTTTTAATAATAGCCATTCTGACTTGTGTGAGATTGTATCTCATTGTGGTTTTGATTTGCATTTCTCTAAGGATCAGTGAAGTTGAGCTTTTTTTCATATGTTTGTTGGCCACATGTATGTCTTCTTTTGAAAAGTGTCTGTTCGTGTCCTTTGCCCACTTTTTAATAGGATTGCTTGAGGTTTTTTTTTTTTGTAAATTTGTTTAAGTTCCTTATAGATGTGGATATTAGACCTTTGTCAGATGCATAGTTTACCAAAATTTTCTCCTATCCTGTAGGTTGTCTGTTCACTCTGTTGATAGTTTCTTTTGCTGTATAGAAGCTCTTAAGTTTAATTAGATCCCATTTGTTAAATTTTGCTTTTTGTTGCAATTGCTTTTTGTGTCTTTGTTATAAAATCTTTGCCCATTTCTATGTCCTAAATGGTACTGCCTAGGTCGCCTTACAGGGTTTTTAGAGTTTCGGGCTTAACATTTAAGTGTTTAATCCATCTCGAGTTGATTTTTATATATGGTGTAAAGAAGGGGTCCAGTTTCCATCTTCTTCGTATGGCTAGCCAGTTATCCCAGCACCATTTATTGAATAGGGAATCCTTTCCCCATTGCTTGTTTTTGTCAGCTTTGTCAAAGATCAGATGGTTGTAGATGTGCAGCCTTATTTCTGGGTTCTCAATTCTGTTCCATTGGCCTATGTATCTGTTTTTGTACCACTAACTGCTGTTTTGGTTACCGTATCCCTGTAGTATAGTTCGAAGTCGGGTAATATGATGCCTCCAGCTTTGTTCCTTTTGTTCAGAATTGCCTTGGCTATTTGGAGTCTTTTGGGGTTCCATATGAATTTTAAAATAGTTTTTTCTAGTTCTGTGAAGAATGTCAATGGTGGTTTAATAGGAATAGCATTGAATCTATAAATTGCTTTGAGCAGTATGGCCTTTTTTACTATATTGATTCTTCCTATTCATGAGCATGGAATGTTTTTCCGTTTGTTTGTGTCATCTCTGATTTTTTTGAGCAGTGTTTTGTAGTTCTCCCTGTAGAGGTCTTTCACCTCCCTGGTTAGCTGTATTCCTAGGTTTTTTTTTTCTTTGTGTATTTGTGTATGTGTGTGTGTGTGTGTGTGTGGCAGTTGTCAATGGGATTGCATTCCTGGTGTGGCTCTGGGCTTGACCATTGCTGTCCCGTATAAGAATGTTAGTGATTTTTGTACATTAATTTTGTATCCTGAGGCTTGCTGAAGTTGTTTTATCAGCTTAAGAAGCTTTTGGGCTGAGAATATGGGGTTTTCTAGATATAGAATCATGTTGTCTGGAAACAGGTCTAGCTTGGATTCATCTCTTTCAGTTTGGATGCCCTTTATTTTTTTCTCTTACCCTACTGCCCTGGCCAGGACTTCCAATACTATGTTGAATAGGAGTAGTGAGAGAGAGCATCCTTGTTTTGTACTGGTTTTCAAGGGGAATGCTTCCAGCTTTTGCCCATTCAGTATGATGTTGGCTATGGGTTTGTCATAAATGGCTCATTATTTTGAGGTATATTCCTTCAAAGAGGCCAGGGTCTTTACTCTCTGTGCAAGTTTGCCTCATGTTGCAGCTTCTATCAGGAAGTCCTCTCCATGAGGCTCTTCTTCCTAGCTGCAGCCCCACTGTGACTTCTCTGCCATTCAGTGACCCTTGGCCATGTCCTCTCCTACAAGGTCTGCATCTCAGCCTGAGGGACCTCTTCTCTGGCAACTTCATCTCAGCCCTAGGGGTGGTAGCTGCTCTTTATAGCTGCCATTCTGATGTTATTTCAAGTTCTCTTGACTTTTTACCAGAGAATCCTTCATCACGCTCATCCTCTGATATATTAATAATTTTTTATGTTGAATTTTTTCCTGATAAAATTACTGTCTGGTTTTGTTCTTCTGACTGGATTCTCACTGGTACAGAATGGATATCAGGAGTTATCCCAGGAGAAAGGCCACACAGGCAGAAATTTGCATTGGTTTGGTCAGGCCCTTGGGCTTAAGTGCAGTTCTGAGCTCCTTGCCAATGGGCAGTGGAATGCTAGAAACCCATGGCATGTGGCGGTGCCACACTGAATCAAGCTGTCACCTATGGCTGATTGTGATGAAGAACGAGCAGAAGCAAGACTCTTGGGAACCCCAGTGCCACTGCACTGCACTGCGATGGCAGTAATGATGACTATGAGGACTGCAATGTGAGGCAGATTTTCTTCTTAAGCACACTTGGGTACTTACAAAGAGAAAATGGGAAGCACAGTTCTGTTTACTCTCAGCTTGAGTCACAGTCTGAAAACTGGAGAGCCCTAAAAAAATCTCTTATTTTTGGTAGCTGGACTGATAATGCTGAAAATAAAACACCAACTTAATTTTTTGCCGAATTGCACTGGAAATTTAGAACATTGATTGGTAAAGAATGGGATTCTGAAACTTTGAATGGGAGCTTCTGGTTGAACCCAGAAGAAACTGACAATCTTAGACCTCCAAGTCGCTCTGATATTCCTTTACCCATGGAAGGAGCCTGCCCTCCGGTGTCTGAGAATAATAGCCTTCCTTTTCTTTGAGAATCTTGTGATAAGCTCACCTGAGGCAGATGCTTTGAAAGGGGATGCCCTTTCTCCTCAAGACCCAATCAAACCATATGCACATAGACCCATAACTAGTGTCAAATCTCAGCATGCTCCAGAGAACAGGTAGACACAGTGACCCAAAAAGAAGTAGCTTACACACAGAAAGAATAAGGTTTTGTTAATGTATATTGTCAGAAGCCTAGGATGCATGTGTGGAAGTGCATTCTAAGGGCGTTACACCAAGGAGGGTGGAATCTAACACTAGATCAGCCCTGATTGTGAATATGGGTGCTCTTATTGGACATTCTGGATTTAGTGTGTTTGCTCATGCAGCTGAAGGTGATTCTAATGGCTTACCTGGTTGGTTGACTAAAACTTGGACAAAATAGTGGCCAATATGATTCGATAAATGGACTCCAAAGGCTATGGAGATAGGAGTGTTGGGCTGGATTTATCATTTGCAAATGTGTATCTACCCCCAACCTATGTTCCAGCAGGAGGCCCAGAAGACACTCCCTTGACTAAGGCATTGAGAAATGCATTAGTGAGCAAAGCATCTGCACCCTTGGTCAGCTCTGCAGTGGATTTCTTCTGCAGGGCAGATATGACTGTAGGGGATGTTGCATTGAGATGGGCTCTGGTTTCAATAAGGTTGAAATCCCAGAGGATCATAGGCCAAGAGGCAGCACCTAACTGCCAGAGGCACATTCACTGTAAAGGGCAGCAGGGCTATGCAGGCAGTCAGAATGCCTTGACCCACAGAGATATTTGGCAGTGGTCAATTGATATGGCATTCCCAGGAATCAAATAGATGGACAGCTCACTACATTGTTTGATCTGTATAACAGGAAAAACTCTAGGTCTGGTAGCTAAAAGTCTGGCTTGAGTCACAGCTTCTCACCCCATTTCTAGATCTAAGGCAATTTATGTACTTAGCGTGTCCCTTGAATAAAGAAGCCCCTTGAGGAGGGACCCTGCATCACTATTGCAAATTTCCACTGTAAATCTTACTTTAAGTCTTCTCCAAAGCGACCTGTAGCTGTTTATTAGAGTGACTGCATTTGGGAGAAGAGAACTCCCAGACTTTTCCAAGATTATGACATTGGCTCTGAGTTGACACTGATTATTGAGGAGCCAAAATACCACAGTGGCTCACCAGTCAGAGTGGGGGTTTATGGTGTCAGGGGATGGAATCTTAGCCCAGGTCTGACTCACAGTGGGCCCTGTGGTCTACAGACCAAGTCTGCAGTTATTTCCTCAGTTCATTTTTTGTTTTGTTTTGTTTTTGAGACAGGGTCTTGCTCTGTTATTCAGACTGGAGGGTAGTGGTGGGATTGATCACAGCTCACTGCAGCCTTGACCTCCCTGGGCTCAAGTGATCCTCCCACCTCAGCCTCCTGAGTGGCTGGGACTACAGGCATGTGCCACCCTGCCCAGCTAAAGTTTTGTATTTTTTGTAGAGATGGGGTTTCACCATGTTGCCCAGGCTGGTCTCAAACTCCTGGGCTGAGGCAGTCTCGGCCTCCCAAAATGCCTGGATTATAGGCACGAGCCACTACATGAAGCCCTCAGTTCTTGAATGTATAACGGTGATAGACACACTTGGCAACTATGTGGCCTCTCTGATCTATGAGATGAAGATAATTATGATTGGAATGCCTAAGAACTAACTAACTTCTAGTAAACCAGAAGCCATATTATATCCTTGGGAGAATTGCAGAGATTGATGTCACTATAAAAGACTTAAGAAGAGTAGGGGTAATGATAGTTGTCACATCCCTATCTAATACATCAGTGAGGCCTGTGTAGAAGTCAGAAGAATCTGGAGAATGACTGTGGATTGCTGTAAACTTAAATGGTGACTCCAATTTCAGCTGCTGTCCCAAATGTATAGCTTTACTAGAAAAAGTGTTCCTAGTACTTGGTATGCAGCTGTCGACCTAGCTGATACCCTTTTCTCAACACTTATTTATGAGGACCACCAGCAAATCAGTTTGCTTTTCACCTGTCAGGCTCAGCTATGCTCCTTCACACTCTTGCCTCAGAGCTAGTCAATTCTGCTGCTGTCTGCCACATTACAGTTCACAGAGGTCTGGATAATCTTGACATCTGATGAAACATCACAGTAGCCCACTGCATTGATAACATTGTGCTGATGAGATCTGAGGAGCAGGAAGTAGCAAGTTCTTTTGATGCCTTAGTAACATATATGCAAATTAGAGGGGGGAGATAAAACCATTTGGGGTACCAATTCAGTATCAGTCAAGGCTCACTCAGGAGAGAGAAACCACACAATAATTAGAATGCAGGGAGTTTAATATAAATAATTATTAACTATAACAGAGGAATGGAGAGATCGGGCAGTAAAAACTAAAGAGAATGCTAAAGAACACAGTGGTAGCAGATACAAGGAACAGCCTGTACTTCTGGGGCTGACATAGAACGCTCGAGATAATAGTTCCTTAAAGCTGGGAGATCGTGTGTGATTGCAGGGGGACCTTCTTTCTGAGGACCTGGCCTCTCTTTCAGTCAATGGGTTTCAGGTCCCAAAAGTGTCTCAGGGCCAAAAACTGGGCAAAAGTTTATGTTAGAGCTTGACATTTGTGTCTTCTACCCGCAAAGCCATATGTTGAAGCCCTAACCCAAATGTGATGGTATTCGGAAACGGGATCTTTGGAAGGTAATTAGCATTAGATGGGGTCATGAGGGTGGAGCTGTCATGATGAGATTAGTGCCCTTATAATAAGAAATACCATAGAGCTTCTTACTTTCTCCCCGACTCATGCAAAAAGAGTTCATGTGAACACATAGTGAGAGGTGGCAGCCTGCAAGCCAAGAGAAGAGAAGTCAGAATAAAACCCACCTTGCTAGCACCATGATCTTGGACTTCCAAGCCTTCAGAACTGTGAGAAATACATTTCTGTTGTTTAATCTACCTGGTCTACAGTACTCCATCATGGCAGACCACACTATGACTAAGACAAATTTTGACTTTTATTGAGGTGGCTTTCCTCAGCCTTCTGCCCATCATCCTAACTTTCTTTTGATTGTATAGATTGAGCAATGCCTTCACTGACTTCCCTCCTCTCTTGTTCTTAGGAATTCAATATTCTATTGCCTCATGTCCATACCTTTCTGCAAGTCAGTTCACCTGTCCACACTATCAGCTTCTGTTGGTATATGGTGGCTAGGTCTTAAATTTCCTTTTCTTTCTTGGTCAACTCAGTACTCATAGCCAGGATATATGTTGTGCTTTCACACTAGTTCTTGGTCTGGTGATTAGGAGAGAGGGTAGGGGGAGATCCTGAGGAGGTCTATATTATGTAGCAAGGCAGATGCCTCCCCCTATTTTTAAGCAAAGGAGAATTCTAGCCTTTAATAAAGAGGAGTGGGCCACTTCTGAAGACCCAGAGAGTTCAGGGGGCAAAGTTCTTAAATGCATCGACCCAGATGTCCCTGTCCCTCACAGTCTCACTCCTTCCCATCTCAGGCTTTGGTCTTGGAACTGCAGACTTGCTGGGGGTGAGAATTCAACTTCCTTAGAATTCTACTACTTTTAGAGTGAGTCAACTCCCAGGCCTGATCTCAGCTTTTTTTCTGCAAGAGATGAGAATCTCTTTATGTTGCCAAGAAGGCTCTCTGACTTTCACACTATGCCTTTAATTGATAATCAATCACTCTGAAGTCTTTCTTCGATGTATCAATGGCACTCAGTAAGGGTCAACCAGTTTGGCTTAATAATTACTTTATGGTGCCTGAATCATTGTGCCTGCATTATCCCTTCACTGCTGTTCATGGCCCATTTCATGCTGTTCAAGTTTATGGCATGTGTGTTAATAGTTGCCCTGCTTCTTCATGCTCGGGACTCTTGACTCCACCTGTCCCAGTTATGGGATCCTCAGTGTCAACCAGTGGGCGATACAACCTTGAAATCCCATTTTAGAGTCTACTTTCTTGAACTACTCCTGGCCTCATTTGTTTTAGGTCATGTTCCCTGGGAAACAGACTCTCAGGCAGAGGAAGTTCATTGGGAAGTGCTTTTGGTAACAGTACAGTGTGGAAGGGAGGGAAGCTGGACCAGGCAGAGGGAGAAAGTTCCACTGGAATGCAGTTACAAGAAAGGCAGAGGCGGGGGCTGGGAAATCCTGCAGGTCATCTTGTGCGAAAAGAAAATAAAAGTGTCGGGACCCCAGACTCACTATGTCAAAGGGAAAAGTTAGGCTTGGGAACTGAGTCACGCAAAACTGCCTCCCATTTCCTAAATGGATAGCTGCAAAGATAGAAGCCACACACATCCCCAGGGGCCTCCTCAAAATTCGCTTACAAGGAAATTCCTGTGGGCCGAAGATCTTTACCCTAAAACCGACTTCTGTTGAATTTCACTCTGACAATTTAATCAACAGCCTATCTTCACAGGTACAGGACAGACAGGACTTGTGTTTGTCCCTCTGCCCACCTGAGACAAAGGCATATATGACTGCATTTTTTACTCTATATTTCCTTTATTTTATGTAAAAAATGCAGATTCACTGAGCACAAGACCAGTGCATAGTTGACTGTTCCTCTACCCCCTCTTTTCACATGTGCAATGTGGATTCTGTGAACGCTGACCAAAGCCTGGCAAGAATGCAACCATTTGGCTCTTTTATCTACCCTCCCCTTTTTCTCTTTCCTCTGTCTGCTCATTGCTCTTTCAATACTGAAGCCTCCAAACCCTCTTTGGAAAAAACATGGATCACAGATATTCCTGTGATTTTTGTTCCAATTCCCAGGCACATCCTCAACCTTGGTAAAATAAACTTCTGAATTGATTGAGACTGACTTCAGTCATTTTCTTTGATTTACATGAGGAATCCTCCCTACCATGCTACCTCTGTGTTCAGGTCAGGCCTGGACCCCTACCTTCATGGCCACCCAGCCCAGACATAACAGCAGGTGGGAGAGTCAGGAAACCCTGGTAAGGAACACTCTTGGGCTTCCTTGAGAGGGTGCGGGGGCACAGAATGGGGGATAGGAGCAGGCAGCCAGCTGGGTGGAGGATTTAGACTGGGCCCATGTGCCCAGACTGACAAGCTGCTCCAGGGGCCCTGACATGGCTTCTCGATATCTCCTAGGACTTGAATGAGAAGTGAGGGGTTGATGGGGACTGGGAACAGGAGCAGCAGTGGAAGAATACATTATCCAAAATCCTCTCAGCAGTTTTCCCGGCCATGTGTTGACATGAGCAGGGATCCTCTCAAACTCATCTGCCCAGTGCACCCATTTCTGTAACAAATATCTCTTAATACCTCCTAAACACACACATACACACACACACACACACACACACACACACACACACACACAAAGAGTTTTTCCAAAGTCAGTATAATGCCCTCACTGAATAAAAGGAAAGTAATTTATAATAAAAGAATATTGGCCAGGCGTGGTGGCTCACGCCTGTAATCCCAGTGCTTTGGGAGGCTGAGGCAGGTGGATCACGAGGTCAGGGGTTCGAGACCAGCCTGACCAACGTGGTGAAACCCCATCTCTACTAAAAATACAAAAATCAGCTGGGCAGGGTGGCAGGCACCCGTAATCCCAGCTACTTGGGAGGCTGAGGCAGGAGAATTGCTTGAACCCTGGAGGCGGAGGTTGCAGTGGGCCGAGATTGCGCCACTGCACTCCAGCCTGGGTGACAGAGTGAGACTCTGTCTCAAAAAAAAAAAAAAAAAAGAATATTCATTTCAACATGTAAATATTCGGGCAGGCCTGGCCTTGAAGACAAAGTGAATAGTAAGATGTTTGTACCTGTGTGTAGAGTCAACACGAGTGCGGCCATGTCTGCTATAACACATTGCATCAGTCTCGGATGCAGACTGTCACAGTGTGCTATACCAGAGACGTGAACACTAGGAGGGGTGTTTCCATCAGGGATGTGGTTTTAAAAGTGCTGCCAGTCCCAGCTTACCTCACTCCACACAGTAGTTGCATTTCTAGAAAAATGCCTTGCATAGAAAACTGTGCAAAAAGGACTTTATGTTACATGGAGTTCAGGTCTAGGCCTAAATAATCATAAAAACATTTCTCTCCTGCATGAATGTCTGGGAAAGCATTTGAAAGTCCTGTGGGATGTAAGACAACTCTTTCTGCATCTTACACATGGAGAATGTTAGAATTCCTTATCCCGTCCACTAAATGTCTATGGTGCTGCCCCATCCGTGTGTCCACTGTTCCCCTTCACAAAGACCATGACATTAAGAGGTGCCCAGAGAATGGGCATCCTGTGTGTGGCCCTGTCATCACTTTTGTTGGAAGGCCTAGAAAACAGAAACAGTTCCTGCAGAATTTATTAACAAGATACACCCAAATGGAGATTCCACCAACTTGCAAATTGCTATGGGTGGAGGAGCTCTCTACGGCCTCCTTTCTGCTGCCCTCACACTTCTGCTAAAGCACATCACTTGCTGGTGACACATTCATTATTTACTCATTTCAGGCTCAAGAGCAAAGCAGCCAGGCTGGTCTCCACTCACTCATTCATTTTAATTAAACTCTCTAATTTTATTTATGCTGCGACAAACTGATTAACAATTTGCCAGCAGAGAGTAGGAAATCTTAAAAAGCACCTTGAAGAATCTGTGGGTCTCAAAACACAAACCTCACAGAAATGAGGTGGGCTGTGGGTGGGGGCTCCTGCAGGCTGGAGGAAGCAAGTTGTTGAAGCTTCACCACTTCCTACAACCTTGGAACAGCTTCTGGCTCTGAGATCTGGGGCCACCAAGCTGATGGATGGAGAGGCTATCTCTTTGTCTGACATCCCTGAAGCTGTGGGAGAGGGGTTGGGGCTGGCATGGTATCCTGTGTCCCCGGAGGATGGAGATTGTGGGTGGGGGCAGCAGAGATCTCAATCCCCAATCAGTGGGAGAAATGGACATTGATCCAGCCAATTACAAAACACTTTGGTTAAGTGTTGAGGTAGAGTTGAGCCTTGGGTGTTGGAAAAGCTTAGAAAAGGGCTGGAATTTCAGTTAAATCATGGAGGACTCCTAGAATATTACCAGACTGACTAGCTGGAGAGGACATGAGCAAAGACTCAGACATTCATTCCTCCATTCTCCAAAGGCCAGGCGTGCCACTAGTTCCAAATATTAGGGAGAGAAAAAGGAATGAGAGACTGTAACAGACTGAATTGGGGAATTTTAATCCAGTAATGTGCAAATGTGATTTCCTCCCCCCATGCCCCTACAATAACCACTACTATCAGTTTTGCCTTTTCAGATTATTTTTCTGATCCTGAAAGTGGAACAGAAAGAAAACTTGATCTCTTGCCCAATAAGTTTGGCTAGTATTCTGATTCACAGTTAAAACCTTTACCCCCTTTCAGGCAAATACTTAGTTTACTTGGATGTGATGATCCTCTGCCCTGGTCTTCAGCAGTGAGCTGCTGGCAGAGGAGATCATGTGGCTTGCTCTCCCCGCAAGCCTCTCTCTCCTCCCTCTCCTCTGTTCCCTGCCCTAGCCATACAGAATTCAGGGAGGCATGAGAAGAGTCTCATGTAGGGAGCACTGGCTGGTGGAGGAAGCGGCCATTGCTGGCTCATTCCTGCATCTCATCTGGATGCTGGTGATCTGTGCAGCCTTTAAAGTCCTGAGGATCTGCTTGCTCCATGGTGATTGTGCAGTGACCCGTTGGCTGCCCCAGTGCTTTTGTGCAAATGGCAGGTCCTGTCTGGTAGTGTAAGCCCTCAGAGGGAGCCAGTTTTTTGTCCTCCACGTCTTTGGCAATGAGCATGTCACAGCTTTCTAGGTCACCTCCCATATTTGTTAGCTCTTGCTGTATGACAAGGTATTAGAAAACAGTGTTTAATATAATTAATATGCATAAGTTCTTACAATTCTATGGGTCAGCTAGGAATTTCTCTGGTTTGGGTCAGCTTTCTGACTGCTGAGATCAGCTAAAGGCTCAGCTGGGCCTGCATGGTCTAGGATAACTTCACTCACATGCCCTGAGTTGACCTGACACCCATGAGACCCATGTTGGACTTCTGCCTTACAGAACTGTCAGATAATAAATATAGGTTGTTTGAGACAAAAATAAAAAAAGGAAAGTATCCATTGCCAAACTCCAGGTTATAAAGACTCACCCCTAGGTTTTCTTCTAAGAGTTTTAGCACTTACATTTAGGTGTTTGATCCATGTTGAATTAATTTTTGTATATGGTGTGAGGTAGGGGTTGAACTTCATTCTTTTGCATGTGGACATCCACTTGTCCCAGGATCTTTTGTTGAAAAGACAATTATTTCCTCATTGAGTGGTCCTGGCACCCTTGTTGAAAATGAATTGAGCATAGATATATGAATTTATTTCTTGACTGTCAATTCTGTCCCATTGATCTATATGACCATCCTTATGCCAGAATATTTTAAAAATGTAAATGTAATCGTGTCACTTCCTTACTTAAAACCCTCCAACAGATTTGATTTGCATTTAGAATCAAATTTCATGCCTAGGTTACAGAGCTCTAGATATTTGGCCCCTTTCTATCTTGGCTTCAGCCAGAGTCCTAATTTCTAGTCTGAAAACTTGCCAACTTTGTGCCTTACCCCTTCACACTACTGCTTCCTGTCAAGAATCTTCTTCTGCCTGATCTTCCTACAGCTATCTTCTTCCTGTTATTTGGACCACCGTTGAAATGTCTCATATTAAGAGACCACTTCATACCCACCAAAGAGGCACTTGTTCTCTGTTATTCTGTTTTATGTTCCTCAATAGCATTTATTACTTTATATATTTGATTTGTATAGTGCACTTTTAATTTTCTTCCTCTGCTAGAATGCAAGTGCCATGAGAGTAGGGACCTTGTCTGCCTTGTTCATTTCATGTCCCCCACAACCATCAGAGTACCTAGCTCCAAGCAGCCACTCAATAAAATGAATCTGTTGAAATGGAAAATGCCCACATCCATTAGGTGGTATTCTGGTCTCTCTCACAGCCATTTGCTGAATAGCAATTCCTGAGAGTAGGCTAATTTTAAAGGGAGTGACACTGACAATTAAAGAACAAACAATTACAATTGCCCCATGGTATACAGTACAGTAAGATCATGTGATAGTTGATTTTAGGTCAATTTTACCGGATTAAGGAATATCTAGAGAACTGGCAAAGCATCATTTTTGGGTGTGCCTGTGAGGGTGTTTCCAGAGGAGATTGGCTGTGAGTTAGTGGACTGAATGGGAAAGATCCCCTCTCACTGTGGGTGGGCCCCATCCAATTGGCTAGGGACCTGGCTAGAGGTAGAAGAAAGGTGAATTCTTTTCTGTCTCTCTCAGAGCTGGGACACACTTGGTCTTGGACATCAGAACTCCAGCCTTTGGACTGCAGGACTTATGACAGTGGCCTCCTGGGTTTTCAGGCCTTTGGCCTCAGACTGAGAGTTAAACCATTGGCTTCCCAGGTTCTTAGGCTTTAGGATTTAGACCTATCCCAGGGTCTTCAGCTTGCAGATGGTCTGTTGTGTGACTTTTTAGCCTCCATAATCACATGAACCCATTCCCCTAGTAAATCCCTTCTCATACATCTCTATCTCTATCCCTAGCTCTGTCTTTATCATCTCTATCTCTATCTCTATGTCTCTATCTCTATTTCTATCTCTATCTCAGCTATCTCTATCTCTATCCCTGCCCATATCCCTCCCCCATCCCTATCTCTATCTCTACCTATCTCTATCATCTCTATCTCTATCTCTATCTCTATCTATCTCTATCTCTATCTTCATCTCTATCTCTCTGTCTCTATCCTATTGGTTCCATCTTTCTAGAGAACCCTGACTAATACAGATTATATGATTATATTTTCTTTCTACATATTTTATCTGGAATTAAATATCCTGAAAACATGTCCATGCCCTCAGGTTATTCTTTACTGTTGCTACATTCTTATTTATATTTACACTTGCAGTCAGTTTCCTCTGATATGAATAATAGATCAGCAATAACTTTTCCTCTTGTGTTCAGAATCATTACAATTTCCTTCAAAATCTCTTTCATGTATAACTGCACATATTAATCACAATGCTGGTTATTAATGATAAAATTACATTGAAATAGTGGAGCTGCTGAAATTAAGGTACTCTGAGATCAGCCCATGTCTTCTTCTAAAGTTTGAGCAGATCTTTGCTCATCCATCTTTTAGATCAGCTTTGAAGTGTAAGATGATTGTTGGAGATTATCAAAATGTCTCTAAAAGATTACCAAAAAACAATGCCCAAATTAAGCAGGGAAGATCTTGACAAAAAGTCAGGGCAGAGAAAAAGTTGGACAGAATATATGAAACAATGAGAAAAAGAGTAAAAAAAGCACAGAACACCATGGTAGAGGTGGGACTAAAAAGTTAGGGGACTGTTCCTCATTCCTACCTTTCACCCTTCCACTATACACACGCACACACACACACACATGATTCAATGGAATCATATTTTTTTTTTACTAATGAAAAACTGTATTTACTTAGAAGCATTCAGAATGTCAACAAAACTGAAACCACCTTTGCAAAATTATGACAGTAATTAAATTATGATATAGCTGATTCCATCTTGCTTCTAAGATATCCTTGTTCATTCCCGGGTGTAGGCCAAGCTAACTTTGGGAAGAATTTAGTTTATGGTTTAGCTGATAAGAGCCCTTCCCAAAACTAACCTGCCTTTGTAAAACTAATAAAAGTCCACAAGATTAGGACTGTGAGAGTGGCCTGAATCTTGCTAAGATGCAGGCGTAGTTAAACAATTACCGGCCATTGTTCTGGAGGTCACAAGATTTGTAAATTCCTCAATTACTCCTGTAAATAACATCACTATTTTAGAACCTAAGATTGGCCTTTTGAGATGTCTTTTCAGACTTTCGCATTTCTCATAACGAGATGGCTCCATCCAGACCTGCCACTGAAGACAGCTAGTCCTACGTCCCCTGCCAGAAGCAGACTCAGCACGTGAGGACCATTTTCCCACACCCATATGATTACATTCCCAACCAATCAGCAGGACCCAGTCTCTAGTCCCCCACCTGCCAAACTATCTTTAAAAAACTCTAGCCTCCAAATTTTTGGGGAGGCTGATGTGAGTAATAATAAAACTATGGTCTCCCATTTAGCTGGGTCTACGTGTATTAAACTTTCTCTATTGCAATTCCCCTGTCTTGTTAAACTGGTTTCATCTGGACAGTAGGCAAGAAGAACCAATTGGCAGTTACAAATTAGCAGCAACTTCTTCTTCTTTTTTCTTTTTTTGCAATTACTGAGTGTTATTCAGTTAACAAACAATTATTTCATACAAGCCATATCAGAGCAAACTGAAGATGAAGAAACCATCATTCCTACATGTAACTGATTTGTGCTGTGCACCAAAGAACCTGCTTTAAATTTCCATGCCAATTTACAACTCCCATACTGTACCAGGCAAGGTTAGAGTCTGTTGAAAATACCATCAAGGCTATCTAAAGACAAATTTGATAGTGGGTCGGCTATACAAACGGAAGACACTGTATAGTTTAAATACAAATCTTACACATTTCAATTGTTTCCCTTAAAATGAGTGAGTTGTATACACAGGGGTTAAATGCTTTATAGATAAGAAAAAAAAAACTGGACTAGAACCAATTTATTCATCATCATTTTCATCTTCTATCTTCTTCCTCCTCCTCTTCATCTTCCTTCTATTTTCTTACTTTCTTCAGCCTTGATGACTCCCTTTTTGGCAGGCTTTCCTTTAGCTTGGTATGCAGTAATTTCCTTTTTGTATTTTTCCTTCAGCTTCTCAGCCTTCTTTTCCTAAGGCTGCTTGTTATCTGCAGCAGTATTATTATTCCTGAGAAAAGAAAAATAGCTTAGAGCATTCTGAGCTATGTGAAGTATGCAAAATTCATCTGGTCCACAGAGACATAAGTATGAGACTTTAGTCATGTCCTCTACACCCATGCCCGAGGGCAATTGTTTAAAGACTCCTTGTTCCTGACTATCTGCCTCACCCGTTATCTTCATGTTCTTGGAATTTGAATTATCTTCATGTTCCTACACACAGAACAATATATAGACAATCAATAGCTTATGTTATTTTAATGTAAATTCTTGGTAAACAACTTAAGAAGCTCGTCTTCTTTTCCTTTAAAAACCTACTTTTAACAGACTGTATATCTAGGACAACTTGAATCTGTGCTCCCAGATTGCAGTCCTCAAGCTTGGCCCACATAAACTCTCTACTTATATTAACTTTGCCTCAGCCGCTTCCTTTCAAGCCAACTCCACTTCTCTCCAAGCTTCTTTGCAACATCCCCAAAGGATAGTCCAGGTGTTTTCCTTTGACTCTGGGGTGATGGAATAGAATAAGAAAAATGCCTGAGGAATCATCTTGTGCACACTGAAATTCCTGAAGTTTTTATTTGTTTCTCCCTTAGGAGGAAGATAGGTTTTCATTTCTCTCTCTTTTTTTTTTTTTTTTTTTTTTTGAGACGGAGTCTCACTCTGTTGCCCAGGCTGGAGTGCAGTGGCGTGATCTCGGCTCACTGCAACCTCCACCCTCCGAGTTCAAGCGACTCTCCTGCCTCAGCCTCCCAAGTAGCTGGGATTACAGGCACCTGCCACCATGCCCAGCTAATTTTTCGTATTTTTAATAGAGACGGGGTTTCACCATCTTGGCCAGGCTGATCTTGAACTCCTGAGCTCATTATCCACCCGCCTCAGCCTCTCAAAGTGCTGAGATTACAGGCGTGAGCCACGGCGCCTGGCCTTCATTTCTCTTTTATAACAGGACTTGTCTGCCTTTGGCATGTCTTCAGATTTTCCTTTCCCTTTAGCAGATATGGACTTCTGCATCTCTGATCACTTCTTAGTAAACTCTGAGAATCTGACTGAAGCGTCTGGGTTCTTCTTCTGCTCCTCCAGGCAAGCTTGCACAAAGAATGCATGATAACATTTTGCCTCTCAGCTTCTTAGGGTCTCCTTTGTCCACATTTAGTTGTTTTTTCTCCCAGTGCCCATCTGGCTCTCACTTGTCCTGGCTTAGTCTCTATGGAGCACCATGTACTGCAATTGAAACTGCCTTTGCAAAAATTGTAACTGAGGCAATTTCTATGGGAAAGAGATCTGACCTGATTCCATCTTGCTTCTAACCTCCAAGAGGTCCTTGTTCATTCCTGAGTGTACACCAAACTAATTTTGGGAGGAACTCAGTTTATGGTTTAGCTTTGAAACAAAGATGATAATAGCCCTTTCCCAAAACAAACCCCCCTTCCTGCCTGGGGACTAGAGTGCCTTGGCAGGACTAACAAATTAGCTGCAAGATTAGAAATTATGGTTTAGGAGTCATCCAGCTGGAGGCTGCAAGATTCTAAACCTCCTCAAATTGCTCCTGGGGATAACATCATTATTGTAAAACCTGAGATCAGTTCTTGAGATATTTTGCTGTACTCAGTGAATAAGCTGCCCCCCGCCCCCCCCCCCCCCCCCCCCCGCCATTGATAAACTGAGCTAATCTGGTCTTGTGGCCCACACTCAGGAACTGACTCAGCACAAGAGGACAGCTTCGACTCACTGTGATTTCATCTCTGACCTGCCCAATCAGAACTCATGACTAACTGGCCCCTACCCACCAAACTATCCTTAAAAATTCCAATCCCCAGCCGGGCACAGTGGCTCACACCTGTAATCCCAGCACTTTGGGAGTCCCAGGCAGGCAGATCACTGGAGCCCAGGAGTTCAAGACCAGCCTGGCCAATGTGGTGAAACCCTGTCTTTACTAAAGATACAAAAATTAGCTGGGCTTGGTGGTGCTTGCCTGTAATCCCAGCTACTCAGGAGGCTGAGGCACAAGAATTGCTTTAACCTGGGAGGAGGTTGCAGCGAGCTGAAATCACAACACCGCACTCCAGCCTGGGCAACAGAGAGAGACTGTGTCTCCAAAAAAACAAACAAAACAAAACTCTGATCTCCGAATTCTTAGGGAGACTGATTTGAGTAATAATAAAACTCTGGTCTGCACAGCCAGCTCTGCATGAATTACCCTTTCTCTATTGCAGCTCCTCTGTCTTTATAAATTGGCTCTGTCTAGGCTCTAGGCAGCAGGCAAGGTGAATGTGTTGGGTGGTTATGTCAGAGGTGTTTAAACCAGAGCAACTCCATCTTGTATAGGGTCTGGGTAAAATAAGGCTGAGACCTACTGGGCTGCATTCCTAGGAGGTTAGGCATTTGTAAGTACAGGATCAAACAGGAGGTCAGCACAAGACACAGGTCACAAAGACCTTGGTGATAAAAGGATGCAGTAAAGAAGCCAGCCAAAACCCACTAAAACCAAGATGGTGGTGAAGTGACCTCTGGTCATCCTCATTGCTCATTATATACTAATTATAATGTGTTAGCATGCTAAGAGACACTCCCACAAGCACCATGACAGTTTACAAATGCCATGACAATGTCAGGAAGTTACCCTATATGGTCTAAAAAGGGGAGGAACCCTCAGTTCTGGGAACTGCCCACCCCCTTCCCAGAAAACTCATGAATAATCCATTCCTTTTTTAGCATATCATCAATAAATAACCATAAAAATGGGCAACCAACAGCCCCTGGGGCTGCACTGCCTATTCTTTATTCCTTTACTTTCTTAATAAACTTACTTTTACTTTACTCTATGGATTTGCCTCAAATTTTTTCTTGCACAAGATCCAGGAACCTTCTCTTGAGGTCTGGATTGACATCCCTTTCTGGCAACATCTTCCTGGTGAACCACAAAGGGACTATACTGAGGAGACCCTGACCCAAACGAAATAGACTGCAGCACCAATTGGCTAACTTTGGGTACA
Source organism: Homo sapiens (assembly GCF_000001405.40). NCBI lineage: Eukaryota > Metazoa > Chordata > Mammalia > Primates > Hominidae > Homo > Homo sapiens. The sequence continues at coordinate 49,549,461 of NC_000010.11, read as the reverse complement.
TGGCGGGGTACATTTTACTCAGGTAAAGGATGAGATTGGGTTAGAGGCCTAACTTAGGAAGGTTAGAGTCTCTCCTAAGACAGAGAGGGTTAAAGGCCCCTCTTAATAAAAGGCAAGGATGCTTGACTGAACTTGGGTTTGAGGCCCAACTTAGGAAGGTTAGAGTCCTTCCTAAGATTTAGGGGGTTAGAGGCCCCTGTCAGTAAAGTCCTTCTTGGTTAAAAATGGATTTGGCCCTGCAGGATGTTGACTATTATTCTCTCTGGATTAATCTGTCTTGCATTCTTTGCTGATGGCTGTGGGTGACAGAATTAAGCATGTACAGGACCATGGGACATGGGGAGCTTTTTCCTCCCCAAAGGGGGACAATTGAGAGCTGATGGGCATGCTGGAAAATATCCCTTTGTGGCTGACAAGTGGCCACCTGAACTTCTGGTTCAGTGTCACTGCAATGGGTGGGTCTTTCTCTGGCCTCCATGAGCTCTTTGCCTTCCCTACCCCACTGCAGGCAATGCTTTTCTCCCTTCCTTTTCCTATCTCTCTGCACAAATTTGTTGTAGGAATGGTAAAAATCACCATCTCTTGCATTATCTCTTGCAATTTTAATTAATGAGAAAAAGGATTTCTGAGGCTAGTCTTAAGCTGTAGTGAATCTGATGTATTTTGTGCTATAAATTTGTCTTTCTGTATCATTCTGTCATAAAGAAGAGTATCTTAGGAGAGAACATGGGCTTAGTATCCCATAAAACCACTGTTCAACACACTCCAGCAAGCTGGTCAGTAACAAACTTTGCTGCAGGTCCCTGAAACAATGAAACTGGATGAGGTTTCCCTCTCATCTTGTTCTACGTTCTTGGGAGCTTGATCTTGTAACTGCGGGGCAGTAGTTTCTCTTTCTCCACCATCCGGAGAATAGGAATTTTGGAATTCATGTCATAGCCTTAAAAATTGTCTTGAGCAGTTAAAAGTTTTTGCAAGCTAAGAATTGGCTGCTTCTAGGCTCCTTCTGGGAAGAGTAACAGAAACTGTCCAGTGCTGTAGCTTAGTGGCTAAGGCTTTGTCTTTTCACAATGGGGGCCCGGGTTCAGGGTTCAATTCCTGGCCTAGGGAATGAGTACTTTTTGGTTCATATCTGTGTGAATGTTGCCATTTGTTGATTCTCTGCCCCTCTGTGAACAACTTCTGACTTCCTTCTTGAATTTTCCTTTCTCTGAGCTACCTTTGGAGATTTTACATTTTGTAAAAACTGCTAACCATCTCTTTGAAAAAAACTCGTTGACTCGTGGTTAAGTTATAACCTTAGTTAAGGCTTACTGGTTTTGCCTGAGAGGTTACTGTTGGTAAAATTCAAAAGCCAGAAATATTGGCCATTTGGCCTGGGTGAGATCAGTAACAAGAAATTTAAAAGGACTTTTTAAAAAGAGTGGTATGGTTAAAAGTTAGCTTAATTAAAAGTGGATAGCCAAGCTTTACCTATATTTAAAAGAACTTTATGTTTCTTCTCTTCTTGGAAGATGTTTTTCTGGAAAAAAGGTTTTTTTTTCTTCTCAGTTGAATGAACTGTTTTTCTCCATTTTGTCTTCTTGCCATTCTTGATGCACACATGAGAGGACCTAAGAATTTCTAGCAGCATGGGACTTCTTGGGAAAAACAGAGGAGGTGCCACGACCTCATTTTGGGAAAAATCTCTGTTTTCCTCATAAAATCCCAGGAATCGAAAGTGGATAGATCCCTCTAAAATATAAGGCTCTGTTCTCTTTTGCATTGCATTATCTGATGTTTTTGACTTTTGGGGGTATCAGAAATTTGCCCTGTGAGAGAACTTTAGTGTATAATAACAAGGGAGGAAATGCACTTTTAGGGATGGCTAATGACAGTTATGGGGGGATACTCAACTCTTTGCACATTTGGATCAGAGAAACATGCTCTTGGCCCCCTGGAAGATATGGAAATATACCCACTCACTACTGAGAGATAAGACTCCCATGGGAAATGGCCTGATTTCCTCTTTTTGCGATCCAGGATCTGGTATAAAAATGGGACCCAAAATTTTGGGGAATCTGTTTTGCCTTCCAGCTGTGCCTGCTTATTAGGCCCTAGAAATTGCACACTTTAAAGAGAAACTTAAAAGCTGGCAAATGAAAAATCTTACAACTACTAGATCTGTCTGTCTATTTAAATGTGTTGTATGTGTGATATGTATAAATGAAAGAGCTCTGATTAATTGGCTTAAAAATAATAAGAGCTTAAATCAATCAAGCAATCTGTATTTCCCAAAGATTATTTGATTTAATCTTTGGGAAATAAAGACAGTTTTACAGATTATTGGTAAAATTAAAACATTTGGTCTAAATTACACTGGTTGCTGAATACTTTAAGGTCAATTGCTTCTTTCACTTTTAAAAATTGTTCTAGTACCTGCTTTGGAGCCATTAGATTCTAAGTAAGGCCTGAGGACATGTGGAGTTAGCCATGCCTCCTGGCTATGCTAGAAAGAGTCAGACCTTATCTACACTTCTGTCTGGTGTCTTAAGCTCCAAAGCTGGTACATAATTAGAATCACTTACTTACCAGGTTTTTCACCAAAAATAAAAGTTGCTAAGAGTTAACATTGTAACATGTAATTAAGACTACTAGAGATATACCAGGCATAGTGGCTTATGCCTGTAATCCCCAGCACTTTGAGAAGCTGAGGTGGAAATATCGCTTAAGCTCATGAGTTCCAGATTAGCCTGGGCAACATGGCTAAACCCTGTCTTTATAAAAAATACAAAAAGTAGCTGGGCATGGTGGTGATGTCTGTAGCCCCAGCTACTTGGGAGGCTGAGGTGGGAGGATAGCTTGAGCCCAGGAGGTGGAGGTTGCATCGAGCTGAAATTGTGTCACTGCACTGCAGCCTGGGTAATAGAATGAGACCTTGCCTCAAAACAAAACAAAACAAAACAAAGCAAAACAAAACAAAACAAAAAAAACGGACTACTAGGGAAACAGTTTTACATGCAAGGTATGTAAGGAAAGTGAAATGTATTTTTGGTAAAATATTATAAGAAGGCATGGGAATGTGGACTTTTTTTTTGGCCTAGTTTAGAGGGCTAAAGGATTGGTTTAAGTTAGATAGGATAAAGCTGAAGGTTTGAGCAAGTGCTGGGAGGTTTGTGAAAAATGCATATTGTAAAAGAAATTCTGTGTGTGAACATATTGGCTAAAGTTAAAGGGGAATTATTCGGTTTTTTCATAAATTGAACATTGGAATAAAAACACAACAGGTTTTTCTTAGAGCACTTATCTACTCTTTAACAAAAATTTGTAAGGGGTTATAAAAGATTTATGAGAATCTTACCTTATGGTCAGACATTAAAATTGGATAGATTTGTCTTTAAGGTTTTATTAAGAATTTGGTTTAACATCAATAATGCACTAATGCCATGGTGAAATTTGGCTTATTTGGTATAAAAATCATACAGAAAGCACTGTCAAATATGAAATGGTGTTTGGCTTTCTTTGGGCTGTATTTTTATAAATATTTATTGGTATCTGTTCCAAAATTATGAGAAACTCCTATAATTCTTTTACTTTTTTTTTTTTTTTTTGTGAGACGGATTCTTGCCCTGTCACCCAGGCTGGAGTACAGTGGTGTGATCTCTGCTCACTGCAACCGCCACATCCTGGGTTCACACCATTCTCCTGCCTCAGCTTCCCAAGTAGCTGGGACTACAGGCACCCACCACCATGCCCAGCTAATTTTTTTTTTTTTGTATTTTTAGTAGAGATGGGGTTTCACTGTTTTAGCCAGGATGGTCTTGATCTCCTGACCTTATGATCCGCCTGCCTCAGCCTCCCAAAGTGCTGGGATTACAGGCATGAGCCACCACACCCAGCTGAGAAACTCCTATAATTCTTGTATGACTTAGTGTATATTGTTAATAATTATAATTATGACAAGTCTTTGTATGCACAAAAGTAACCAAAATTCCTAGTCAATTGTGACTTTAATAGTGACTGTCCTAAGGTTTTTTGTCATCCACAGACAAGTGTTATCTTGTATTGTTCCTCTTCAAAAGGTGGTTTATAATCAACTATACGACTTTGACAGGTGCTCTTAAATGCAGGTTTCTGAATAACTTAGGAGATTGTGACATTAGAATAGAGGAAAAAACATTTAGGACTCTCATGGAGAGCTGAAATATTCATGACTATCAAGCAGAACAGGAGTCAACTGCATGGAGTAAACTAATAGAAGCCTGAAGTAATCTTTTTGACTTTTTTTCTTAAAGTGTTGCTGATCCTTTGTTTTGTTTTTCACAGTCAAGAAAACTTTTATTTACAACTTGTAGCAGCTGAGTATGCCTATAAACAAAATTTGAAGCATATTTCTCTCTACCTGATTTCTCCAGAATTTGGAAACTATTTGTGAGTATTCTTATGGCAATATAGTTATTTACATAAGTGCAGTAAGAATCTGTTTTCTTTTACAACAGGACACAGTTGGAGGAACTGATTATTTTACCAAGCCTTTGACTGGAATGGCATGCTTTCAAATATAAACAAACTGCTTCAAGGAATCAAACTTGACTTATAGAGACAATAAAAGCCCCTTGGGAAAACTGGCCTCATACCTTGTCTACACAGTCCTTGTACAGGGTTCTTGGTCTGTAATAAGTAAAGAATGCAACTTTCTGAGAGGCCCAGGAGCACCAATATCTTGGGACCTCAGGAGGAGAGGAATTTACCCAACTTACAGGTATTTGATGGCAGCAACCCATGGCTGGGCTCAGTTTTAAAAAAAGTCTTATTTAAAATTCCTTATAGAACAAAGATCCATCAAATCCAATTACAAAAAAAAAACCCATGTGAAAAATAATTATTCTTGCTGCCCTTTTTACGAAGAATCAGGCCAAGTATAAAACTAAATTTATTTAGTTGGAAGCAAATCAGTCTTACCATGATTTGTCTTTAATAAAAGTGGGAGCCTGAAGAGAGAAAAAAGTTATGTTTCAACTATGGTACACCTGTTATTAGATTCTAGTCTCATCAGTTATTTTTAAGGGTTTTTTCTTCCTTGCAATTTAGACTAACCCTACTTTTTCCTGCCAACTAACCAGTGATCTCTGGCTGCTGCTCAGAAAAAAAATAACAGAAATGGGTAATGTAAAAATCTGGATCAATATTCTAATTCTAATTGGAACATATAGCATGTACAGCAACTTCATATCAGCTTGCCCAGTTCCAGCTGTTGCCGAGTTCATGGAAAGCCTTCTAATTTAGTTTACTTGGGATAGTTTTACTTATTTTGCTTTACCGTTGTGGAACATATTGCTGTTGTACTCCGTGTGGGAGTGCAGGATAAGCTTACTCAATGTTTAATTAAATTGAATACTTTTTAATCTTCCAGATATCACCTTTTGCCCTCAAGAGTTATGAATGTCCCTCACCATAGTGATGCCTTCTGACTGAGCTCCTCACTACCCTGAATACAAGAGACCATAATAGTTAGGTAGGAGTAGCATAGCCCTTATTCAGCTTGAAGAAGTTACAGAAGATGGATCTTTGTCCCTCTACTACCCTTTGGATTAGGCGTTCCCTTGTAAAAGGGAAGGGAGAAATATGTCAGAGGCATTTGAACCAGAGTGATTCCATCTTGAATTGGGGCTGGGTGAAATAAGGCTGAGACCTACTGAGCTGTATTCCCAAGAGGGCAGGCATTCTAAGTCACAGGATGAGGTAGGAGGTTGGCACAAGATACAGGTGACAAAGACCTTGCTGATTAAACAGTTTGCGGTAAAGAAGCTGGCCAAAACCCACGAAAACCAAGATGGCAATGAAAGTGATGTCTGGTCATCCTCACTCTTCCTTATATGCTAATTATAATGCATTAGCATGCTAAGAGACACTCCTATCAGCACATGACAGCTTACAAATGCCATGGCAATATCAGAAAGTTACCCTATATGGTTTAAAAATGGGAAGAACCCTCAGTTCTGGGAATTACCCACCCCTTTCCTAGAAAACTCAGGAATAATCTACCCCTTCTTTAGCATATAATCAAGAAATAACTATAAGTATTCTCATCAAGCAGCCCAAGTTGCTGTTCTGCCTATGGAGTAGCCATTCTTTATTCCTTTACTCTCCTAATAAACTTGCTTTCACTTTACTCTATGGACTTGCCCCGAATTCTTTCTTACTCAAGGTCTAAGAACTCTCTCGGCATCTGGATCGGGAATCCTTCCTGGTAACAGTTCACAATGGATGGTTTTATACATTCATTGCTTTTAAGCTTGCTGATTCATTTATTCAACATACATTTAACATGTTTTTCTAGTGGTTGCCAACACAGTTCTAAATAATATGCTTTTGCTTCTTTTTTGATTTATAATTTTTACAAAGTATTTATTGTGTTTCCAATACATCTAATTATTTTTCATGAGTTTTCCCCATTTATAAGGATCAGAGAACCAAACCGGTTTTGTTGCACTGCCGTTACCCAGAAGTTTTGAAAAGTGAGAGTCAACTCAGACCTCTGTTCTGTAGGTCATTGGGAGAATTCCTTATATTGAACACGAAATGTGAAATAAAGGCGCAAGGATGAATATCGTCATAGTTAAACAAGTTAACATTAGTAAAGCACTCAAGACAATGAAACCACCTTTGCAAAAATTATATCAGTTAGAAAATTATGACAGTGAAAGAGGTCTGAGTTAACGCCCCCATTCCAACACCTATCTTGCCTTTCCCTTAATTATTTCTAAGCTACTGGGGCCAGCTAACTTTGAGAGACATTTAGGCTATAGTTTACATGATAACAGACCTTGCCTGAAACTCAACTGTTTTTGTAAAGCTAATGGGAAGCTATCAGGCTGTGGGGGAGGAGAGGAGCCTGAGTCCTGCTAAGGCGCAGATATGAACGATTGTCAGTCATTATTCTGGAGGTTATAAGATACTCAACTTTCCCAATTACTCCTGCAAATAACACCACTGATATGGTTTGGCTGTGTCCCCACCCAAATCTCATCCTGAATTGTAGTTTCCATAATCCCTACATGTTGTGGGAGGAAGCCGGTGGGAGATAACTGAATCGTGAGGGTGGTTACCTCCATGCTGTTCTGATAGTGAGTTCTCACGAGATCTGATGGTTTTATAAGGGGCTTTCCCCCTCCTTCACTCTGCACTTCTCCTTGCTGCCACCATGTGAAGTAGGACATGTTTGCTCCCCCTGTCACCATGATTGTAAGTTTCCAGAGGCCTCCCCAGCCATGCTTAACTGTGAGTCAATTAAACCTCTTTCCTTTATAAATTACCCAGTCTTGGGTATGTCTTTATTAGCAGCACGAGAGCAGACTAATACAACCACTATTTGTAGCTTTTTGAGATATCTTTCCAGGTTTTTTGCATGTCTGACACCCATGGCTCCACCTGGACCGCCAACCCCACTCCCACAGCCCCACCCAGAAGTGATTCAGACTGCAGGAGGACAGCTTTGACTCCCCCTATGATTTCATCTCAGCCTCAACCAATCAGCAGCAAGCACCTGTTACCTGGCCACTCCCACCCCTTCCTCCAAACTGCGTTTGAAAAACCCCCAGCCTATGAGCTTCGGACTTTGGATCAGATGACCTGAGCATGCACTCCATCTCCCACCTGGCATGGTCGGCCTCGTGTCTATTAAGCTCTTTTTCTACCACAATGCTATGGTCTTTCTTTATGCAGTGGGCAGGAAGAACCCCTTGGGTGGGGTGTTTAAAATAATGCCCAGCTTAGAGTAAGGGCTAGGAAATGGTAGGGAAAATGGATTAAAATCCAAATCAATAACTACTATAATAATGACATTAGAAATATTGGTTTGGGGGTACACAGGAGATGCAAGAGCCTATTGCTGTCAGAGGGTAGGGGAAAGCTTCAGAAAAGAGAAACTTTGTCTGAGTTTGGAATGGGTAAGAGAATTCTAAGCAGAGGGACCTGCTTGTAAGATCACAGAAGTGACAGAATAACAAGTAGGGGTATGTGGGAAAAGATTAATAATTGCCTCTCCCCCAAAGTTCCAGTTTATAGTTTGTCCATTTCTGTGGTATAAATACTCCTACTATGGCTGATTTCAAGCTATTAATGTGAAGTCAACAAAGGCAGAGTTGGTGCTATGGGCTAAACTGGGTGCCCCCCAAATTCATATGCTGAATCCCTAACCCTCAATGTGACTATTTGGAGACAGGGTCTTTAGGCAGCAAATCTGGTTAAATGAGATCATAAGGGTGAGTCCCTAATCCAATACGGCTGATGCCTTAGAAGAAAGGGAAGACAGAGCCCTCTCTCTACCCCATGTAAGGACACAGTGAGAAGGTAACCATTTGCAAGCCATGAGGAGAGCTTCCCCTAAATGAGCTAAATCTGCCTGCATTTGATCTTGGACTTCCCAGCCTCCAGAACTATGAGAAACAAATGCCTGTTGTTTAAGCTGCCCAGTCTATGGCATTTGTTATGGCAGCCTGAGCTAAGGCAGCTGGGAAGAGGTGAACAGTATGCTTGCTAGGCCGTAGAAGCCAATTGTAGCACACCCTTCCTGGGAGAAGAGTAAGTAGTTCCCTAAATCCTGAGCATAGGCATCCAGGGAGTGAAGGACACAAGTGATGCAGAAAAATTAGATGGGGCAGGAGTATAAAAGGGCTTGGACGACTTGCTAAATAACTTGGGACCTCATTTAACTAAATTCCCTCATTAAAGACCCTATCTTCAAATACAGTCACATTCTGAGGTCCCGGGGTGGGGGTGGGGAGTGGCGGTTAGGACTCCAGCATATGAATTTTGGGGAGGGGACACAATTCGGCCCTTAATAGCTCCAGTTGTGCCACCCTGAGTTGTTTTCCTGAACCCCGCCCACGTCTTTGTAAATAATAACTCTCAACTTCCCCTTTTGAGTGGACCATTTTTTCCTGTCCAAATTCTGATATAGGAAGGGTCTCCAAAATAGCTGCAAAGGGAACCTCAGTCTCAAAAGTTGGGATCCACTATATATCTGCTTTTACTTTCAAGCATTGAAACTAATGTCAATCAACTGCCTTTCTATTCTTAATATTTTATCCAAGAAATCGCTAGAATTCTTTCTCCTTTAAAAAAAAAAAAAAGCAAGTTACAAGCCGGGCGTGGTGGCTCACACCTGTAATCCCAGAACTCTAGGAGGCCGAGGCGGGTGGATCACCTGAGGTCAGGAGTTCGCGGACAGCTTGGCTAACATGACGAAACCCCGTCTCTACTAAAAACACAAAAATTAGCTGGGCATGGTGGCAGGCGCCTGTAATCCCAGCTACCCGGCAGGCTGAGGCAGGAGAATCGCTTGAACCTGGGAGGAGGAGGTTGCAGTGAGCCCACATCGTGCCATTGTACTCCATCCTGGGCGACAAGAGCAAAACTCCGTCTCAAAAACAAAAACAAAAACAAAACAAACAAAAAAACCCACTACCACCAACAAAAACAAGTTACATTGTGGGTTGGGGCCGCTGACAGGAGGAATAAGATGATGTTATGGAGCATTTCCTAGTCCCCTTTCCGACCCCATTTCCCTATTGTCCGACTTCAGGCTTCCAAGTGAGGACAGCACTTCCCAGGCAGTGACCCGCAGTCACTGCCCTCCCAGAGGACGTCCTGCCTCGCGGCCCTGGAAAGTCCACCTTCTCCTAGCACCGATCCTGAGCTGAGAAGCTCTGTCTGGTACAGCCATCCTGCATCGTGGGCTGCTTCTTTCCCCAGGCGAAGCTCAACTTCCTCCCATTGTTCTGAACCTCTGTGTGGACATCTTCTTTCTTCAAACGCACCACGGTAAAATTCTCGCCTGCCTCGAAACCCCGCCTACCTCTGAGATCTGAGGACGGATACTAAACGCTGGACTTAAGGCAATGTACACATGTAAGCAGGCTCTGTAGGCACTCACTCCGCCCAGGTGCGCGCGTGGCGGAGGGGGAACAGAGAAGCAGGACAGCTCTCCATCCTTCCCGTGTTCAGTCGTGGGAGACAACAAGAGAGGTCACAGCCTGGCGACCAAAAAGTGCGGCTAACTTCCCTGCCCAAGCTGACTTTCTCTGCAGGGTTCAAGGTTAATTGTGAGGATTTACATTCGCATGGCACACCCGCATCCCCCTCTACGTGGAAATATGTCTTAACTTTCATAACTGCCTTGCCAGCAGGGTATTTTTCGCTAGGGGCGAAGCGTCCTTCGCAAGCCACCCAGCTGACCGGCAGCGGAGACAGCTTTCTCGCCCTGCTCGCACGCAAGTAGAAAGGCGCTGCTGAGCCCGTCCCTCCAAACCACGTGGTCTTGCCCGTGCTTAAAAACAAACGCTGAGCCAGGCGCATGCGCCACGGGCCTCCCCGCACCAGCAGAAGTCGGAGTCGCTGTTGGGGGCGGTGTCTATGGTTGAGCTGAGGGCGCAGGCGCCACGGCCCGTCGAGCTGGGTTCCAAGGCGGCTGGCGGCGGTAGCGTCTCTGTTTCCTTGTGGGCGCTCGCGCGGCCCTGGGTGAGTGTTCGGGGGTCCCGGCCGAATGTCGGGCAGGGGGTGTCGGGGCCCAGCTCAGGCTTCTCGGGCGGGCCGCGGCCCCGCGCCTTGGCCTCGCCGTGGTGATTGAGCCTGTCAGCGAGGACGCACTGTAGCGGGTCTTAGGGCCAAGTGCCCGCTTCCGGCGGCCTCACCTGAGACCGGAAGTAGCGCCAAGGAGCGCTCACCTGAGGCGGCTTGAGTCCCTGGCCGGCCAGCGACCCAGCTACTTCTCCGACTTTGTATAAGGCCCCCTGCGCGCAGGGTCAGCTGGGTCCTTTTTGATCTCGATTAAAATGCTGGAGCTGTTATTTTAAAGAGAGTCGGGCTAGATGTACGTCCGACGTTTTGGGCGTTGATAGAGTCAAATTGATAAGAGTGTGGGCGGATGAGGCAGGCCGCCTGTAAATGCTGCTGTTACGTGACTTCCACGCAGCGTCTTAACTGCTGTCATCCTGTGACAGGCAGCCCTCGCTTTTCTCCTCAACTTTTCCCATCATCTTCTTGTTGCTTTGTCTCCTCCAATCCATTATCCGCACAGTTGTCCAGGTGGTCTCTGGCATAAAGTAGGTCATGCCATCATCAGCCTACTTAACAGTTTTCAGAGTCATTCCATTGCACTGGGAGTGGAATCCATGCTCGTGTTTTCCCAGGCCTTGTGTGATTTGGCCCTTGCCTGTCCCCTCTCAGAACTGTGCCTGTGTCCGACCAACCCTCCAAATGAGACCCAGCTTGCCCCTGGCTGCGGGAGCCCCAGTGATGGGGGAGGACGGTGAAGATACTAGTGTCCCAGATGATTAAGCCTTAGAAGATACTCTGCAAGACTTAGGCCATGAACGGAGCCCTTCTCTGCTCTTCTTAACTCAAAGTTAAAAATAAAGTCAAAAATTCGGTGTTCCAGCCTTCTTGCATTTTCACAAGTGCATCAGCTCTTTCTAGTCTTAAAAGTTACGCACGTTGTTGGGAGGCCGAGGTGGGTGGATCACCCGAGGTCAGGAGTTCGAGACCAGCCTTACCAACGTGGTGAAACCCTGTCTTTACTAAATACGAAAAATTAGCCGGGCATGATGGCATATGCCTGTAATCCCAGCTAATCGGGAGGCCAAGGCAGGAGAATCGCTTGAACCCGGAAGGCGGAGGTTGCAGTGAGCCTGGCGGAGCCTGGCGGAGGTTGCACTCCAGCCTGGGCAACCGGAGCGAAATTCCGTCTCAAAAAAAAAAAAAATTTCACACGTTGTTTCCTTGCAAGACGTTCACTTTACTTTCGACCTGACTGACTTATCAGATGTCACTTTATCAGAGAGGCCTCCTTGACCCCACATCTACCTCCACAATTTCAATTTGGTTTCTCTCATTTTGTCAGAAAGCCTTGTACTTTCCTCTTAACAGCAGTCACCACAATTATATTTGTGTGTGTGTGTGTGTGTGTGTGTGTATGTGTATATATATATATATAGTTTTTAAATGTCTGTTTTTCCCATGAGACTCTAAGCTCTTTGGGGACAGGAATTAGTTAACCTAGTACATTGCCTGGTGTAATTAACTCTCAGTAACTATTTGTTAAATGTATGATTTCTTTCTTTCTTTTTTTTTTTTTTTTTGAGACGGAGTCTTGCCCTGTCGCCCAGGCTGGAGTGCAGTGGTGCGATCTCGCTCACTGCGGCCTCCGCCTCCTGGGTTCAAGCGATTCTCCTGCCCCAGCCTCTCGAGTAGCTGGGATTACAGGCGCGCGCCTCCATGCCCAGCTAATTTTTGCATTTTTAGTAGAGACGGGGTTTCACTATGTTGGTCAGGCTGGTCTCGAACTTCTGACCTCGTGATCCTCCCGCCTCGGCCTCCCAAAGTGCTGGGATTACAGGCATGAGCCACCGCTCCCGGCAAATGTATGATTTATTTCACTTCTGAAATT